>NC_000010.11:14858484-15010000 GCF_000001405.40 Homo sapiens
CAACACTTAGGTTACAGGTGGGCAGCTGCAGGTGGCTGCAGGTCCACTGCTGGGGCTCTTTTCCACTTCCTGTTCTAGGACCCAGGCCACAGGAGCAGCTGCCTGGGCCTTCGATTAGATAGGTGCATGTCAGTGCATTCACATTCAGTGTCACAGTGGGTATGACAGAGGGGCAGAGAGATATACCCCACCTACCAAGTTGTGGGAGTGAGTGGGATGGGTAATCCTCTTACGGGGAACGGGGAGTGAATGATAGGGATTTACATGTATTAAAACATTTAATCCTCACACAAGCTCCAGGAAGTAGGCGCTTCTATCTTCATTTTCAGATGAGGAAACTAAGAGGTTTCCAGAGAGGTGAAGTAATTTGTCCTGCAGTCATGAGGCTGGCACTTACATGATGAGGCAAGGACCAGAACTCAGGCTGCCTGTCTCCATCACCTGTGCTCTTCATGCTTGTGACCGTTGCCTTCTCATTTTAGTACCTGGGGTTCTAGTATGAGGAGAGTTTGGCTTTTTTTGGAAGAAATTCTCTCATCTCTTGCTTGAGGGGGACAGGTTTCTGGCCTGAGAGCAGAGAGCTTCAGGGTTCCTACTCTTGAATGTGCAGACTTTTCCCTTCTTCCCCCTTGTTTTCAGCACCATGCCCCACCCTGGTTCGTGCTGTATCTTTGTATCAAAGTTCTATCACTATGTGTTGACGACCTCCCTCCCTGATGTGGGAGAAGGTGCAGGTGGCCACCTGTTTAGGTGAGGGAGAAGCTGGGGGTGGGGGCAGGTGCAGCCACTCCACACGTGTGCTTTCCAGCCCTTGTGTTTTCACTTCTGTGCTTCACCCTCGCTTTCTGTGGTGTTTGGTACCTGGAATCCTATGCATCAGACCACCCTGCCTCTTTTCGGCTATCTCAAACTTCATCTGATTTACCTCTTTCCAGCTTCCAAAATTTGTTGACATCTCAAACTCAAGATTTCTCTTCCATTTATTTTGCCTTTCTATCTTTACCTTCTGAAATCCCTTTGTTGTCAGCTTAGTGGGCTTTTGTGAAAGGGAGCTTAGATAAATGAATATGGTTAATCCCTGTGTTTTAGCCAAGTTCCTGGGTTCTGTAGCTGCAATTTTAATAGCTCCATAGTATTTCATTGCATTGATGTACCGTCCTTCATAACACCCCTTCTGTATATTGGATGTGTATGTTATACAACAGTCTTTGTAACTTGGTGGATGTCCTCAATTTCCTTAGGATAAAATTCAGGAGTAAATCCTAGATTTTAAGACTTTTAGTATTTGTTATCAAATTGCTCACCAAAAAGCAACTTACTTTCTGAGTAGATGTAAACCTTAATTGTTAACATTGCAATTTTAAAGTTCTCTTTGTTTACAGTTCTTTTTTCAGAGAGCTTTAGAATTATTTTTTTCAACTTACATAAAGTCTCATTTTTTGACACAGTTGCATTGTCTATAAATAACTTGGGATGATGTAATAACTTATAGTATTTAGTTTCCTAATCACAAAGTTGGTATCTGTTCAAATCTTCTTTAATACTTCCTTGTTTTCTTAATATTTACTGTTAAATTATTGCTGAGTGCTATGGGATTATTGCTCTTGTGAATGAGATAATACTTTAGTTTTCTTATTTGTTTTTGCTGATAAATGAGATACCTGGTGATTTTGCTTATTTATCTTACATTTTGTCACTTTGTAAACTCTTTGGATTACTGATTTTTAATGGAGTCTTCTGAATTTCCTAGGCATACATTCAAACTTATTTACTGATTAACCCACAAATAATTATTGAGCACACCTATTCTACGCTAGGCAGATTCTAGACACCTGGGATACAGTAGTAGCTATGGCAAAGTCTTTGCCTTCATAGAACGAACAATATAGTGAGGATATACAGGTAATATGAAACAGATAAAATAATGCCCAATTGTGATAAATCTTATGAAGAAAATTAAGCAGGATAAGGGCCTAGCTAGTGACAGAGGGTGATTTTTCAGGTCAGAGTCCCCTCTGAGGAAGTGGCTTTTGATCAGAGTCCTGAATGAAGTGAAGTGATAGAACAAGCCATGTGAATATCTACCAGTGTCCCAGGCAGAGGAACAGCAGGTAAGAGTGTGAGTGGTGCCTGAGGAGCAGCAGGGAGGGTAACAGGGGCCGAACTGAGTGAGCCAGGGAGACGGTGGACAGAGGTGAGCTTGGCAAGGAAACTAGGGCCCAGATCCCCAGAAGGAGTGCTCAGGCCTCAGTGTGAAGAGTTCGCTGTAGATCGATGTAGGGGTCTGGATTTGGGGAGAGGGGTCTGGGCTGGAGACATGTTTGTCCACACATGTACTCTTTAAAGCCATGAAACTGGACAGGTGTACCCATGGGGGAAGCAGAGCCACAATACAGAAGAGATCCCAGGATGGGATCTTGGGACATTTGCAAGCTAGAAGGGCATCTGGCACCGGACCAGCCAGTGAGAAGGAAGAGAACCAGGAAGGCAGGCAAAAACATATCCTTAAGGAAGGGAGAGAGCAGCTGCCCTGTGATGCCAGAGGTATAGTAGGGTGAGGCTTAACCTCCTTGAGGATTGACCCTTGGACTTGGCAATGTGGAATGGCTTGTCAGAGCAATTGTAGGGGAGCTGTGGAGATAAATGCCTTACTGGAGCAGGTTTAATATTGAATTGATGGTGAGGTGTTGGAGACAAGTATAGACAACTCTCAAGTTGTGTTACAAGGGCAATAGGAAAATGGGGTGGTTGAGGGTGCTGGGAGAAGATGTATCTGTAAGTGGGGAGACATTTCTCTAAGATGTGTCCCTTTTGTTTGAGACTCTGTCCAAAAACAAATGTAAGTTCTGATCATAGCAATCAAATATAAAACAAACAGAAGCCCAGGCTGGAATGCTGTGGCTCAATGTTACATCACTGCAACCCCTGTCTCCCAGGCTCAAGCGACCCTCCCGCCTCAGCCTCCTGAGTAGCTGGGACTACAGGTGTGTGCCTTTTTGTATTTTTTGTAGAGATGGGGTCTCTGTATGTTGTCTAGGCTGGTCTCAAACTCCTGGGCTCAAGCAGTCCACCCATCTCAGCCTCCCAAAGTGCTAGGATTACAGGCATGAGCCACTGTGCCTGGCCAGAACTTAAATATTTTTGTGAATGCTGGATTCCTTCTTTTGTTCCTTTTATTAGGGGAATACTGTGAGACTTTTACCAACAAACATTGGTTACTGGTAATTGGTTTGAAATAGATTTTATCAGCCAGGCTCGGTAGCTCACACCTGTAACCCCAGCACATTGGGAGGCCAAGGTGGGCAGATCACAAGGTCAAGAGATCTAGACCATCATGGCCAACATGGTGAAACACCGTCTCTACTAAAACTACACAAATTAGCTGGGCGTGATGGTGCGCGCCTGTAGTCCCAGCTACTTGGGAGGCTGAGGCAGGAGAACCGCTTGAACCCGGGAGGTGGAGGTTGCAGTGAGCCGAGATCACGCCATTGCACTCCAGCCTGGCAACAGAGTGAGACTCTGTCTCAAAAAAAAAAAAGAAATAGATTTTTTTTTTTTTTTTGAGACAGTCTAGCTGTGTCACCCAGGTTGGAGTGCAGTGGCACGATCTCGGCTCACTGTAAGCTCTGCCTGCCGTGTTCACGCCATTCTCCTGCCTCAGCCTCCCCAGTAGCTGGGACTAACAGGCGCCTGCCACCACACCCGGCTAATTTTTTTGTATTTTTAGTAGAGATGGGGTTTCACCGTGTTAGCCAGCATGGTCTCAATCTCCTGACCTCGTGATCCGCCTGCCTCGGCCTCCCAAAGTGCTGGGATGACAGGCGTGAGCCACAGCACCCAGCCCCAAGAAAATAGATTTTATCATATTGAGAAAGCTCTTTCTTTTCTTTTCTTTTTTTTTTTTTTTTGAGACGGAGTGTCGTTCTGTCGCCCAGGCTGGAGTGCAGTGACACGATCTCAGCTCACTGCAAGCTCCGCCTCCCAGGTTCACGCTATTCTCCTGCCTCAGCCTCCCGAGTAGCTGGGACGACAGGCGCCCGCCACCACGCCTGGCTAATTTTTTTGTATTTTTAGTAGAGACAGGGTTTCACTGTGTTATCCAGGATGGTCTCAATCTCCTGACCTTGTAATCCGCCCACCTCGGCCTCCCAAAGTATTGGGATTGCAGGCATGAGCCACTGTGCCTGGCCTTCTTTCTTTTCTTTTTTGACAGGTTCTCACTCTGTCATCTGTCATCCAGGCTGGAGTGTAGTGGCACAATCATGGCTCACTGCAGCCTCGAACTCCCAGGCTCAGGTGATCCTCCTACCTCAGCCTCCCAAGTAGCTGGGACCACAGGCACATGCCACCACACCCACCTGGATAATTTTTGTATTTTTTGTGAAGATGGAGTTTCACCATGTCGCCCAGGCTAGTCTTGAACTCCTAGGCTCAAGAGATCCGCCCACCTCAGCCTCCCAAAGTGCTGGGATTACAGGTGTGAGCCACTGCGCTTGGCCTTTTCTATTTTTAAAGGCGTTTTAATATGAAGTGGGTGTTGTATTTTTACATATGTATTTTTGGACACCAGTGAGATGATCTTATGACGTTGTTTTTATGTATCTTAAAGCTATATAATGAATTAATAATTTCCTAATATGGAACTATCATTGTATACCTGGGATATAACTTACTTGGTTATGAGGAGGTATTCTTTTTTTCTGCAATAATTTATAATTTTTATATTATTTATGCTAACTGAGCATGAAAGATTAGATGGACCATTTCAGACTTCTCTACCTGACCTATATCGTCTGAACAAACTGACCCCTTTTAACATAAACACTGAAAAGGGGAGCAGTCCTAGTTTTTGCTGGCATTGGTCTTAAAGGAGTGCCTTAGCTACTTGGCTCCAACTCATCCTCTCATCTCTGGATGAGGAGCTGTCAGTGGCCTCTTCAGGACCACTGATTATCAGTAGGTCCCAAGTCGTCTCTATGGGGAATCAGAGGCATATGATTATCAGGCATCATCTGAACAAGGTGTCTATCATAAACTGAGTGTAACAGTCCTGTCCCCTAACCCAGGCTTAGTCCTTTTCTAATGTTTCCTCTCCCCACCTCCCTTCTTCTTGTGTCCACAGAGCATGACTTGCTCTTAATAACCTCTTCTAAGGTTGTGACATTATAAGCAGAGGCAGCTGTGTCTGCTGCTTCTCCCCACCCTCCTCTTCTTTTTTGCCTTCTCTGCCTCTCTCACTCTTACCCTCTTTAACAACTCCTGAGATGCACTCAAAGAAATAGGGAGTTTAATCCATTTTGACTCAGGTGCTTGAACTCACTTAGAAGGCCTTAGAGATGAGACATCTCAGGAAGTAATTAAGGTTAATTGGAGTTACAGGGGTGGGCCCTGATCTGATAGAATTATTGTTGTCATGAGAAGAAAGCTGGCTCTTAACCACCCTCCCTCCCCCTCCCACCAAAATGTACCAAAAAAGAGGTTGTGTAAGGACACAGTGAGATGGTGGCCACCTACAAGCCACGAAAAGAGACCTCAGAATGGCCTGTGTTGCTGGCACCTTAATCTTGGATTTCCCAAAACAAAGTTGGCTGGGTATGGTGACACACCCCTGTAGTCCCAGCTACTCGGGAGACTGAAGCAGGAGGATCACTGGAGCATCGCTGGAGCCCAGGAATTTGAGGCTGCAGTGAGCTATGACTGTACCACTGCAACTCCAGCCCGGGTGACAGGGCAAGACTCTGTCTCCGGAAAAAAAAAAAAAAAAAGTCAATATTTTCCAAGGTTGGTTTTTTTTTTTTGGTTTTCTTTGTTTTTTTGCATAGCACCACTTACTTTTTTTTTTATTTTTATATATATTTTTATTATACTTTAAGTTCTAGGGTACATGTGCACAATGTGCAGGTTGGTTACATATGTACACATGTGCCATGTTGGTGTGCTCCACCCATTAACTCATCATTTACATTAGGCATATCTCCTAATGCTATCCCTCCCCCCTACCCCCACCCCACAACAGGCCCCGGTGTGTGATGTTCCCCTTCCTGTGTCCAAGTGTTCTCATTGTTCAGTTCCCACCTATGAGTGAGAACATGCGGTGTTTGGTTTTTTGTCCTTGCGATAGTTTGCTGAGAATGATGGTTTCCAGCTTCGTCCTACAAAGGACATGAACTCGTCATTTTTTATGGCTGCATAGTATTCCATGGTGTATATGTGCCACATTTTCTTAATCCAGTCTATCCTTATCAGACATTTGGGGTGGTTCCAAGTCTTTGCTGTTGTGAATAGTACCGCAATGAACATATGTGTGCATGTGTCTTTATGGCAGCATGACTTATAATCCTTTGGGTATATACCCAGTAATGGGATGGCTGGGTCAAATGGTATTTCTAGTTTAGATCCCTGAGGAATCGCCACACTGTCTTCCACAATGGTTGAACTAGTTTACAGTCCCACCAACAGTGTAAGTGTTCCTATTTCTCCACATCCTCTCTAGCACCTGTTGTTTCCTGACTTTTTAATGATCGCCATTCTAACTGGTGTGAGATGGTATCTCCTTGTGGTTTTGATTTGCATTTCTCTGATGGCCAGTGATGATGAGCATTTTTTCATGTGTCTTTTGGCTGCATAAATGTCTTCTTTTGAGAAGTGTCTGTTCATATCCTTCGCCCACTTGTTGATGGGGCTGTTTGTTTTTTTCTTGTAAATTTGTTTGAGTTCTTTGTAGATTGTGGATATTAGCCCTTTGTCAGATGAGTAGATTGCAAAAATTTTCTCCCATTCTGTAGGTTGCCTGTTCACTCTGATGGTAGTTTCTTTTGCTGTGCAGAAGCTCTTTAGTTTAATTAGATCCCATTTGTCAATTTTGGCTTTTGTTGCCATTGCTTTTGGTGTTTTAGACATGAAGTCCTTGCCCATGCCTATGTCCTGAATGGTATTGCCTAGGTTTTCTTCTAGGGTTTTTATGGTTTTAGGTCTAACATTTAAGTCTTTAATCCATCTTGAATTAATTTTTGTATAAGGTGTAAGGAAGAGATCCAGTTTCAGCTTTCTACCTATGGCTAGCCAAGTTTTCCCAGCACCATTTGTTAAATAGGGAATCCTTTCCCCATTTCTTGTTTTTGTCAGGTTTGTCAAAGATCAGATAGTTGTAGATGTGTGGTATTATTTCTGAGGGCTCTGTTCTGTTCCATTGGTCTGTATATCTGTTTTGGTACCAGTACCATGCTGTTTTGGTTACTGTAGCGTTATAGTATAGTTTGAAGTCAGGTACTCCAGCTTTGTTCGTTTGGCTTAGGATTGACTTGGCAACGTGGGCTCTTTTTTGGTTCCATATGAACTTTACAGTAGTTTTTTCCAATTCTGTGAAGAAAGTCATTGGTAGCTTGATGGGGATGGCATTGAATCTATAAATTACCCTGGGCAGTATGGCCATTTTCATGATATTGATTCTTCCTATCCATGAGCATAGAATGTTCTTCCATTTGTTTCTATCCTCTTTTATTTTGTTGAGCAGTGGTTTGTAGCCCTCCTTGAAGAGGTCCTTCACATCCCTTGTAAGTTGGATTCCTAGGTATACCACTTGCTACTTATTAATAAAGCTTTTTTGATGTTGAATATGAGAAATTTGAAAAGGCATATTCTGCATTTTTGTTCTCCTGGTATTTACCTGGGATCATAAAATTTTAGAGAAGATTGCTCTTTTTACTTACCTCCAAACAGATCTTTTGAAGATCTTTGCCAAGGAAAACCTAGTTTTTAAACAAAATATCCTACAGCTGATGTTCCTCATGCTCGTACCTGGAGATTAATAGGGTGTCCCTCATTACTTCATACTGAACGTGAAAGAGGCCTAGCTTTCATCAGGTGGTCCTCTGCCTCAGTGAGCGGTGAGATCATCCGTAAAGACTGTGAAATAGGAAGTGGCTATTGATTTCCCTTCTTAGGTTATATATTAATTCAATATTCTGAATGCCCATGGAATCATAAGTGTTCAATGAATGAATCAATGAGCAACTTAAGGGATTTACAGTTTAAGGGAGCAATTTTATATGAAATTCTTCAGAAAGATTTAATCAGATGGTACCAGCCGCTTAAAATGCAGTTTTATAAATCAGCTCTTTTTCCTCAAGAAACTTAATATTCTTCCATGGTAAAGGCAAATAAGTTTATGGCATAGTTTTCACTAAGAGAGAATAGCAATATTTGTCACAAAAATGCTTTAAGATTCAAACTTTTAAAAAAAAAACTTGGACAGTACAAAATATTGATATATTTTCTATTCAAGTGACTATTTGTGGTTAAGCCTCTTCTGCACAGTATGATGAACCAAGTATGTAGCTCTACTGTATTTTGTAATAAATGGTGAGATTTCCTCATTTTAAATTTTGTTGTGAATAAAGAATATGTTAAATATCTATAATATGTTTAAATATATGTTTGTGTATTTATAGGTTAAGTATAACATAACATGTTAATATATAGGGCTTTTTTTGTATTTTATCTTTACATACGATGAAGATGACTCAGTCTATTACACTTAATTTTGAGACACAGCATTCTTCTAAAAGTAAACAACTGAAAATTATTTTTATTCTCTAGGTTGTCCTTTGTGGAGGGTCTTCTCGAATCCCAAAGCTACAGCAACTGATTAAAGATCTTTTCCCAGCTGTTGAGCTTCTCAATTCTATCCCTCCTGATGAAGTGATCCCTATTGGTGCAGCTATAGAAGCAGGAATTCTTATTGGGAAAGAAAACCTGTTGGTGGAAGACTCTCTTATGATAGAGTGTTCAGCCAGAGATATTTTAGTTAAGGTATGTTTAGCTTTTGTATACTAGTTAAGGTATGTTTAGCTTTTCTATACTTTACATAAAAATAGTAAATTAATTGCCATAAGTTTTTATACATACCATGATGTTACAATAAAACCTTGTATACTGACAGGTCTTAAATTTAGATTTATAATCCTACTTTTAAGGTATGTCTTATATTCTTTTAGTTAATATTTCTCTAACCTCTTAGTTTTTTAGAAAAATAAAAGTTAGGTATAATATTAATCATAAGCTAATATAGAGAGAGGTATGTTTCAATATATTTTTAAAGTGAAGTAGGATTAAGGATTATTTCTATTTTCTTCTCTTTGCCTAGTGTCCTGTTTATCAATAAGGAATATATATCTCATTTATAATGGGAAGTTTTTTTCAATTGTAAAGATAAATACCAAAGAGTATGCACCTTGTTTCCTGCTAACTAGGGTGTGGACGAATCAGGAGCCAGTAGATTCACAGTGCTGTTTCCATCAGGGACTCCTTTGCCAGCTCGAAGACAACACACATTGCAAGCCCCTGGAAGCATATCTTCAGTGTGCCTTGAACTCTATGAGTCTGATGGGAAGAACTCTGCCAAAGAGGAAACCAAGTTTGCACAGGTGAATACATAAAGTTAGACACATTAAACTGTTCAACTTTGCTTTCTGGATTAGATTCAGTTTAATATCTTAATACAAAATGTGTATATATATAAAGGACACCTAATACATTTTTATGAAGGATTTTATGAAGGCTCATTTCTGAAAATGAACACCTGTGTACTCATTTTTGAAAGAGGGAAAAAATAGGCAGTTCTAATTTGAAAGAGTTCTGGGTATTTAGACTGCTTCTCTGTTGTGCTCTTGGCCTACCTTGGTAGTTAGGTAAGTGGAATGGGAGAATTATATTTTTTGGTTCATGCTAAATGCACATTATTGTGTACGTTTTACAGATGATTAAGAAGTTGGCCTGTGATAGCAAATACCCTTTATTTTCTTGGTCAAGCTAGGGTTTCTCCTCACGTTGGTTTCATTTCTGAGCCCATGACATGCTCTTCCCATTGTGCCATGCTGCCTCTGAGACAAGATAGGTTTGCTTTTTTAAAATACCGCGTGCATATCTTATACTATGTGACCCTCTGTATGCTTTACAGAGAGTGAAGTAGAGCCACGTTATTTACTTAGAAACATGTCTGAGAAATGCAGTTGCATTCACACACACACACACACACACACACGGACTGCAGAACAGTATTTGTATTACAATGCCATTTGTATCTAAATAAAAAGTCTGGGAGCATGAGTGTGTGTGAGGAGGTAGTATTTGAGTAGGGGTGCATTTTCAGATATCCAGGCATTTATACAGAAAATATCTATAGGTACTTAAACCATATTCCAGAAACTTCACAGTAGGTAAATAAGTTTGAAGGTACCAAGAGGGGTTTTTTGACTTTTGACACCTTATACTGAATTTTTTACAAACAGCACAGGACATGAGCATGAATTACTTTTATAGTAAAAATTAAATATCGGTAACAAAAAATAATGTACTGTTTTTTTTGTTTTTTCTTTTTTTGAGACGGAGTCTCGCTCTCTTGCCCAGGCCAGAGTGCAGTGGCACGATCTCGGCTCACTGCAAGCTCCGCCTCCCAGGTTCATGCCATTTTCCTGCCTCAGCCTCCTGAGTAGCTGGGACTACAGGCGCCCACCACCACGTTCGTCTAATTTTTTGTATTTTTAGTAGAGACAGGGTTTCACCGTGTTAGCCAGGATGGTCTCGATGTCATGACCTCATGATCCGCCTGCCTTGGCCTCCCAAAGCAGTATTGTTTTTTAAAAAATATATGCACATTCAGAGAAGTCCAGAAGCAGACTAAAAATGCCTAGCTTTTTTGAGAAGACAGGGTGTTTATTAGTGATGAGATATTGTGTGTGTACGTGTACGTGTGTGTGTGTGTGTGTGTGTGTGTGTGTGTAAAGAGATACATATCTTTAGCTCACATATTTATTTTAATTTTTTTTTTTTAAGACGGCATCTTGCTCTGTCACCTAGGCCAGAGTGCAGTGGCATGATTTCAGCTCACTGCAACCTCCACCTCCCGGGTTCAACTGATTCTCCTGCCTCAGCCTCCGGAGTAGCTGGGACTACAGGCATGCACCACCACACCTGGCTAATATTTGTATTTTTAGTAGAGACAGTTTCACTGTGTTGACCAGGCTGGTCTCAAACTCCTGACCTCAGGTGATCTGCCTGCCTCAGCCTCCCAAACTGCTGGGATTACAGGCATGAGCCACCACGCCTGGCCACATATTTATTTTCTAATTCCAACAAAAGAGTAATGAAAACACACACATGCATAACATGCCTGGGCTGCACCTCAGACTTACCAACTTGGAATCTATTGGTAAAGTTTTAAAAGCGCTTCCACATGAATTGGTTTGTGTGTGTCTAAGAACCTTCCCATGCACCAGGTTTTTGAACTCAGATGGCAGTCCTAGTATTTCCTTAGCTCTTCTCTCACAGTTCTGTTACCTTTTTCTTCACATCCTCTCTGAGACTCCATAGCTGCTGCCACTATATCCTAACTTAAAGATGCCAGGAGGAGCGTTAGCCACGTAATACTGAATTTGGAAGAGAATCTTTCAGAGTTCCCATCTGTTCTAACCTTATTTTACAAATGAGTAAAACAAGGTACTTAGTAACTTACCTAAGTTATTAAACTAGAGTTTGGCAAAGCCTAAAGTCACTGCAGAACTCCAAATCTGGTTTCTTGATATACCATTCTTTAGGAAACTGAGGAATTTTATAGTAAATTCATTACCATCTCTTACTTACAAATATAATCTTAGTTGTACAAAAGAGTTTGCCATGTTTTTAAGTAGGTGATTTTCCAAATGTATTTAAAATGCTTGATTTTTTTTTTTTAAGTATATATAGAAAGCTAGCCAAATTATAATTTGCGTGTTACTGGGAATGGCTTACTTACCAAAAAAGAAAAGTAGCCTTTATTTTCCAAGATTAATAGTACATCTTAGAAACAATGATTTTAATCTAGGACATGACATTTAGAAGGGACAAATGCATTAGTTATCTTATATGCCCTCCTTCTGGAGGAAACATTTCAAGTTAACAAAGCTTCACTCCTATTCTCTGAATTCTGATTCAGTGGTAGGAGAATTGAAAACTGCCCTATTTTAAAAAGGTTTGTTTCAGTGATAAATAAGCTTTGGTCCTTTGCAATAATTGATACATCAGTTCATTTATGTAAAGATGCTGAATTCTCTTCATATTGTTCTTGTATAAACAGGTTGTACTCCAGGATTTAGATAAAAAAGAAAATGGATTACGTGATATATTAGCTGTTCTTACTATGAAAAGGTAAAAAATTAAACTTCTGTTGTTAAGAAAATTCAATTTGATACTTGACCATTTTTTGAGTTTATTGATTTTTTTATTTATTGTCATTCTAGAAGAAACATTAAAAACCTACAGAGGTTTTTATCAGTGAATTACATTTTTTGCCCCCAGAATTACTATATTTTACAAAGAAAAGTATATCTCAAGTCATTTGCATCTTGAATATTTTAGGAACTCTTTATTTTGGCTATCATCAACCTAAGAAACTGATCTGTGCTCATTTGAGATGTAATTTATCAATTTCTAGTATAATTTTCTAAGGTTTATGTAACTGTTACTGTTTGCCCTATGAAAGGGTAAGTTTCTTTATTGCTGCAGAAAATCTGTAAGAAAAAAATGTACTAATTAAATTCAGCTATTGCCATTTTCCTAACCACAAGCTATCCATATCACTATGTATTACAAGTAAATCCTTTCCAAATGAAACTTAAAAGACAACTTACTCCATAAACGATACTTAGCAAGAATATAGAATTCATCAGGGTGAGTTTGCCTTGGCCTAGGCTTGAAAATAGCATGGTGCATCTGGAGCTTATATAAAGTCTTAAACCTAAGATGTTTGTCATCATGGGTTTTCAAGAAATACAACCATGATCTTAGTGGTCTGGAAGGAAGTTCCTAATAACAACTAGCTAAATATAACATATGACACTTACTAAATTTAGAGACACTGAGATTGTGTTTATTCTTTACATTAATACCCTTCTTTTGAAAATTAAAATTAACCCTTGTTTACTGAAAGCCCTCAAGTAACTTGTTACAGACTTTATGTTTTTATAAAATGAGCTTGTGCAATGTTCTTTATTTTTTTGTCTGTTTAGGGATGGATCTTTACATGTGACATGCACAGATCAAGAAACTGGAAAATGTGAAGCAATCTCTATTGAGATAGCATCTTAGTGTTTTAGAGAAATCAAGAATTTTTAAAAACAAGAATATCAACATTTGGTTTTGTGTATAAGTGGTGTTTGTATTAAAATACTTTTTCAATGAACTGTATAAACTATGTTTTATTAAACTACAATATATCAGTAAGTGTTGCAACCCTTTGTTTTTGACGTACAGTAACCTCTTATTACTGGGAAATATAAGGAAGTTTTTTTTTTTTTTTATCATGAAGCTGTTTAGAATTAAACTGAGTTGGTTAAAGAATTTTCTATAACATTTAATTTGTAAAAGTCTTCTATTGATTCTTGTTAGATAACCAAGAGAACAATTAAAAGTCATTGACATTAATTGAAAAAAATTTCAGGACCACATAGAAAGTAAGATGCCTTTTTTTGTTGGTTTTTGTTTTTAGAGACAGGATTTTGCACTGCCACCGAGGCTCAAGTGCAGTGGTGGGATCATATCTCACAGCAGCCTCGAACTGCTGGGCTCAAGCAGTCTTCCTGCCTTAGCCTCCCTTGTAGCCGGGACTACAGATGTGCACCATCACACCTGGCAATTTTTTTTTTTTTTTTTTTTTTTTTGGAGAGACGGGTCTTGCTATGTTGCCCAGGATGGTCCCAAACTGCTGGTCTCAAGCAGTCCTCCCGCCTTAGCCCCACAAAGTGCTGGGATTACAGGCATAAGCGACAGCCATTTTTTAAGTAAACTGATAAACTCAACAACTAGGAGAGGGGCTTTTACTTTTTACAGTTTTGTTTAGTTTATTTCTTCCAACAAACATGTTTTTCTTTTGAAATTAAAAGATCTCTTTAGGGCTGGGCACGGTGGCTTACACCTGTAATTCCAGCACTTTGGGAGGCAGAGATGGGAGGATCACTTGAGGCTAGGAGTTCCAGACCAGCCTGGCCAACGTGGTGAAACCCCATCTCTACTAAAAATACAAAAAATTAGTTGGGCGTGGTGGTGTGCGCCTGTAGTCTTAGCAACTCCTGAGACTGAATCCCTTGATCCCAGGAGGCAGAGGTTGCAGTGAGCCGAGATCACGCCACTGCACTGCAGCCTGGGTGACAGAGTGATACTCCATCTCAAAAAAAGAAAAAAAAAATCTCTTTAGTTTGAAGAGAAGGCTAGCCACATTCTGTTTACCAGAGAATATTCACTAGAGCCCTGAGATCCTCAGTGGGTTCCAGTGAAAACTTATTCATGTTGGCTGCTATGGAGTTAGTTGGTAGTACCCTTCTAAAAGTTTTTAAAGATCCAGAAACCAAACTTAAATTTTTTCATCATTATTTTGCATCAAATTATTGACAGAACCATGAAGAGAATTCAGATATGATTTTAAGTCCACAGAGTCTTTAAATACAGAAGCAGCTTTAAAGGTGTACTCTTTGTCCTAAGTTATTAGTTATTTCTTAGGATCTTTTTCCAAAGTCATAGAAAATTTGAAATAAAAGTGATTTTGGTATAAGCAATTCAGTGGCTTCAGAACACAGGAAAACACCAACTGAACTAGTTCTACTGCTAGGTCTACATGCTTTCAATTATGCTTTGAAAAACTTTTAGGATTTTATTTTGTGGTTATTGTTAGCTTTTAAAATAGATCTGGGGTGCCAAACTATGGCCAGTGAGTCAGATCTATCTCACCCCTGTTTTCATAGATAAAATTTTATTAGAACACAGTCACACTCTAATTGTATATGGGCTGGCTGTGGCGGTTTTCACATTAGAGTGGCAGAGATGAATAGTTGCACAAAGGCTGTGTGGCCCACAAAGCTTAAAATATTTACTGTCTGGCCTTCTACATAAAAAATTTGACACCTAAAGTACATTATTGAAACTTATAGAATAAAATAACTTCTTCTAAAGTTTTCTGCTATATTTATGTAATGCTTTACTTATTGGCTCCTTTCCCCACTAGATTATTAAGCATTGTGAGAGCAGATACTCTCAGTCTTAGTCACCATTTTGCCTCAGCCCCTACAACAGTACGTGAGCATAGTGGGTGTTCCTAAGTGCTTATCAAATAAATGAATTATGTGGAAGAAAAAATAATGTCATGTTTGTATGCTACAGGACAATGGCCAGTGAGTAGTACATCTGTTGTATATTTTATGGTTTGTTTAGAAACATAAGGAAGGAAAGGAATAGCACTGCTGACTTTATTGGTCAGCTTTGCATGTTTGTTTGGTTGTTTTCCCCTAGACTTATCAAATTTGAAATTGTCATCAATAAGTCCTCTACTGCCTAATGAAATTCTTCCACATTTTTTCGTACCCTCAGGTGATAAGTTTTTTCCTTGTGAATTTTTGAAAGATTTGCTGACAAAATTTTCTAGTGTTTTTTTATTTTTCAAGGTGAAAATAGCTTTAAATTTTTTGTTTGTAAGAATGATACATAGTCAATATAAAATTCAAATTCCAAAAGAAAAAAATATAAAACATTCTTTATTCTACCATCCAGAATAGTAACTATAAAGATTTTTGGTGAGTACCTTGATAATCTTTTCATGTACATCCTAGTTATCTTTGTTATATGTATGTCGTAGCAAAGATAATTGGGATGTACATGAGATACATGCAATTTATACTCATGAAATGTAAATATATTTCATGAAGTTTAAATATGTATATATTTAAATGTGGGGAAAGTAGTCAAGTAAGTGAAGTATTACATAAATATGGAAGAAAAGTTTTGAAGAAGTCATTTTATTGTGGAAGTTTCAATAATCTACCTCGGGTCAAGTTTTTTATATAAAAGGCCAGATAGTAAATATATACATATTTAAACTTAAACACTTTTACCACTAAAAGCTTATGTCAAATTATAGTTTTGCCTATTTACATCTGACATTGTCTGAAGAACAGAGCCAAATATAAAAATAGGAAGAAATACCTATGATGTGAAAGTCTTGGAACGTGTCTTAGTTTGGACTGCTATAATAAAGTACCATAGTCTGGGGGGTGGCTTGTAAACATCAGAAATGTATCATAGTTCTGGAGGCTGGAAGTCAGTTCGGGTGCTGGACCAGGCTGGAAGCGGGGCCGGGTTCTGATGAGGGCTCCCTTTTGGGTTGCCAGCTATCCTTATAACCTCACACGGAGGATAGAGGGCGAGAGAGCTCTGAAGGGTCCCTCTTGTAAGGGTGTCAATCCCATGCATGCAGCCTCCACCTTCATGATTTAATCACCTCCCAAAGGCCCCACCTCCCAATATAATCACTTTGGGGGCGAGGATTTCAACACTGGAATTTTTCAGAGATGAAAACGTTCAGTCCTTAACAGGAGGTCACAAAATATTCATCACAAACTGAAAGCTTTTATATGTATAAGAATTCTTAAAAGTATCCTAGCATAAAAGTTCTATGGGAAAAATCACAATATCTAAAATGATAATGAGTGACCATATAATACTGTTATTTGCTTTAATTCATTATCTCATTTTAAAATTTTGATCTCATCACAATTCCACGAGTAGTTGTACTATGTAGAGAGTAATATGGCCTTGGTTATTTCTGTTTTCCAGATAATAGATTCACAGCAGTTAAATAAAGTATCCAAGGTCTCACAGTGAATAAATGGTGGATTTTGAACTAACATTCAGATGCTTATTTTGTAAACTTAATTTTTCTTGACTGCTTACTATTTTAAGCACATTACATGGATTATTTCATTTAAATTCACATTCTTAATCTAGTGTTCATTCTATGATTCTTTGCCTCTCAGAAGAGAACGTTTATTTCAGTAGAAGAGGAGACACTCCAGAAATCATGTGGTCTTTGTGAAAAAAATACTGGGAAAGGGTCATGATTCTCTACTTTTCCCTTGAGGACCCTGGTGTGTGTCTCTCAGTGGCTTTTTATTTCTCTCTCCATTTATAGCCAGGATTTACCAACACCCTCAAACATTTTAGTCCCAGGAACCCTTTATAGTCTTAAAAAATAACATGTTGAGAACCCATAGAGCTTTTGTTTGTTACATATACATAAAATGTAGTTATATAACTATAGTTACCATATGGAAATTAAAACCAATTTTAAAAATTATTTCTAAGTAATAAAGTTAATTTTTTATGAGAAATAATTTTTCTAAGACAAAAAATTAGTGGCAAGGGTGGTATCTGGGGTTTTATTTTTTGTTTTTTGTCTTGAGACAGGGTCTTGCTCTGTTGCCCAGGCTGCAATGTAGTGGTTTGATCATAGCTCACTACACCCTCAAACTCCTGGGCTCAAGCGATCCTCCCACCTCAGCTTCCTGAGTAGCTGGGACCCCAGGCATGTGCCACCACGCCCAGCTAATTTTTTAGTAGGGTTGCCCTGGCTGGTCTCTAGCAATTCCTCAGCCTCCCAAAGTGCCAAGATTATACGTGCGAGCCACTTTGCCTAGCCAAAAGCAGTATTTTGTATTTTTTCAAATCTCTTTAATGTCTGGCTTAATAGGAGATAGCTATGTTCTGGTACCTGCGTCTTCGTTCAATGTGTTGCAATATTCAAATTGTGTAACCTCTAGAAAATTCCACTATGTACTCATGAGCGAAGGAAGGCAGAGAACATGTTGGTCTGAAAATAGTTTTGCGCTCATGAACCCTGTGAAGAGTCTTCGGGTCCCAATTACCATACTTTGAGAATTGCTGCTCTAGATAGTAAACACGGTGATGAATGTTGAACAGACAGGGCCTCATCTATGCGCTGGAATGGATGGGATTCAAGACACGAAACGAAACACTGGATTTACAAAATAGTGCGATGCATTCATTATGAATCAAGACCAAAGAACAAAAACCCGACAAGATAATTGCAAATTTTGATGAGTGCTTTTTAAGGATGCAAAGTAGGGCTAAAGAATGAGGTAACATGCGAGGCCTCTGTCAATAGGTGGTGTTTAAGCTGAGACCCAAGTGATCTGAAGGTAGCCATGTGAGGAGGGGAAGGAGCCTGTCCTCTTAACCGGAAAGTAATTTCCAGCTGCCTTCAGTGATTTGCTTTATCCGCTGCTCCTGTCACTAGGAAGTCAGCTCCATGAGGACTGGGTCTTTTTTCTTTCTCATCCACTGCTATATTCCCAGCACCTATCAGGTGCCTGGCACATAGGAGATGCACAGTAAAAGATTTCTGGGTAAGTGGGGCCGGGGAAAGGCCAGGAAAATGAGTAAAGGGGAGAGTGGCACCAAGTGAGGTGAGACAGGATTCCCATCACTGGAGGCCCTGCCGGCCATCTGGAGGTTTGAGTTTTATTCTGAATGCTACGAAGTTCAGAAGTGTATTTTTCCGGATATGTTCAATTTGAGATGTTTGTGCAACACCTAAGGGCATATGTCCATTACGCACTGTGGATATTCTAGCCTGGAATTCAGGCAGAGGCCAGGGCCGGAGACGATAAGTGAGGCATCTTGTGTGTCAAGATGCTATTTAAATCCATGGGAATTGGGGCAGTCACATAGGGAGAGGGCGGAAAAGAAATGCAGTCCCAGGACTACAGTCTCTTCTCTGAGGAACCCAGGTTGGACTGAGGAAAAGGAGCCAAAAAGGATTCAAGAGTGGCCAGTGAGTAGCGATGGCCGCTCCTTGGTGGGCTCTGAAAACATACAGGAGAGGTAATGAATACAGGGGCCGGTTAGGACGGGAGGCTGTATCCAAGTCTGAAGGCATAATCCTAGATAGACTAAGCCTTAAAGGGCCTGGATGCTCTTCCAGGTGACAGGGTTGGACAGGGCCTTTTATTCCTTATCTCAAGGTAATGAGATATGGAATACAAAATTTACTAAGGACTCAAATCTTAGAAACATGTCTGAGAAATGCAGTTGCATTGAAACACACACGGACTGCAGAACAGTATTTGTATTATGATGCCGTTTGTAGCTAAATAAAGTCTGGGAGCATGAGTGTGTGTGAGGAAGTGGTGTTTCCCATCGTAGAAAATGATTAAATATTTAAAAACGAGAAGTTAAAAAGAAAATCACTCCGAAAAGGCTATTTCGTTATTTTCCTATACATTTTTTTCTTCCATAGTTAAAACTATATTTCAGGGGGATTTGTTTTGGTTTTGCTGAATACTAAAAGCTTCATGAACACCTTTTTAAGACGGCTAGACAGTATTTCATAATGGAATCAAATAATTAACTATTCCTTTAATGGTCTGCGTTCATTTCCAGTATTTCAAATTTATACATACTGCTTTGAAACGTTTATGTAATTTTTTACATGAATTTTTTAAGGAGATATCAAATGGCCTTCTGCCAGTTTTCGTTATTTGCTCTAAGATTTCTGCTTTAGGTTGTTTAGAACAATCATGGATGCAGCGTCAAGAATGGGTGGGGGAGGGGGGTGGAGACCAGGTGGGAGGCCCCTGGAGTCGTCCTGCAGCTTCCTTACTAACGTGTCCTTCTCCTCCCGGCCCCCACCCGCCACCAGGCCGAGCTCAGGAGCTTGGCAACAACATGGGAGGGGAGCTCGGGTCCCCTTACAGACCTACCCAATCCCAATTTACATTAAAGTTGAGCCCAGGAGGTCTAGTCTGCAGTGAGCCGTAATCGCGCCACTGCACTCCAGCCTGGGTGACAGAGTGAGACCTCATCTCTTAAAAAATTCCAAGTCCAGCTCCCCCACCCCCGACGATTCGTAAGCCCCTTTAAGTGAGAAGCACTGATGTGGACCGGTGGTTTCCGCTGTGCCGCACATTAGGATCAGCTGGGAGCTGGATAGCACAGGCCACACCCCACACCAACCAGTCGGAATCCCGGCGACTGCCCCAAGCCAGCGGAACCTCTCCAGCCATGCCCACGTGCAGCCGCTTCCGAAGCCCGGAGCTCTAGAGGGAGCGGTGTCGGGGGGAGACTAACCATGGCCCACGGGGCTGCGGTAGCTGCGGAACCGTACCCGACAGGCAGCGTCCCCGGCTCCCTAGGTCCCCGCTGCCCGTGTCGGATCTCGCAGTGTGCGAGTGCTGCCGAAGTAAGACGTCTCCAAAGCGCAAAGTCCTGGCCGACGTCTTCCCGAGTGAAGGCGCCAAACGGGCCTGGCGAAGGGAAGGGGGCGCCGGACACTGCCGAGGATCCGGGAGCACGCGCGCTCGCCCCGCCCCGCTCCTCGCGCTTGGGGCCGGGCCTAGCTTTGGGGCGCAGGCGCGCTGGCCGCCGCGGCGGGGGGTCGGCCGCCAGTGACGTCAGGACGCCGTGCGGGTTCCGTCCCCCAACAAGCCCCGGCCCCCAAGTCCCGCGCGGGCCGGCCAGGGGCGGGGCGTCGGGCCAGCTGAGCTATCCCGTCAGACCGCGCCAGTTTGAATGAAAGCTCTACAAGATGGCGGCGGTCGGGGCCGAGGCGCGAGGAGGTGAGGCTGGAGCGCGGCCCCCTCGCCTTCCCTGTTCCCAGGCAAGCTCCCAAGGCCCGGGCGGCGGGGCCGTCCCGCGGGCCAGCCAGATGGCGACGTGGCGGTTCCCCGCCCGCCGCGACCCCAACTCCGGGACGCACGCTGCGGACGCCTATCCTCCCCCAGGCCGCTGACCCGCCTCCCTGCCCGGCCGGCTCCCGCCGCGGAGGTGGGCACTGTCCGAGCCTGGGGCACTTCGGAAGTGGAGCGTGGCCTCTCCGCCCGCTCGGCCCGGCCCCCTCCGCGTCTCCCGTGGCGGCCTCGGGCTTCGAGGCCGCTCCCCGGCAGTCCCCGGTTGGAGGTCCGGGGGGCACGGCTGCGACTGGCTCCTTTGTGGTGGTTCGAGCGCGGCGTGCGGCATGCGCCCGGGCCTTTGAAGTGGGAGGCGGGAAGCGACGCCCGCCGGCGTGAACATGACCTTAATATCAGAGGGGGAGAGTAAATCGGGGCGCCTGTGTGCTAAGAAAGGGGATAAGCGAGGAATCCCCCCCAAGGCGGACACGCTAGGAGGTTGAGTGCCTCGTTGGAGAATCGCCCAGAAAGTGGGTATTTGAGGTTGCAGCCTCTGGCTTACGGTAACTCTTTCACCCACCGGGAGCTTGGTGTTATTTCTGTGGACGCTGGGGAATTGGGCACCGGGGAACTGGGCACCGAGCGCGCGTGGGTGTGGGCGTCGGGGGGTGTTGGTGTCGCGCACGCTTTGAGAGCCTGGAACTTTTCCGTGCGTTCCGGAATGTAAAGGTGTTTTCAAGCTCGTCTCCTCTCCGCTGGGATTATGACCTCATTATCCCTGAATTTTTCTCCTTGGAGAATGTCAGGGGTTACTGTGAACCAGCGGAAGGTGTTTGTGGTGGTCATGAACTATTTAATTTTGTCAGTGAAATCTTTTTCTGCATTACTGGAGACTGTCGAGAGATTGTCTTTCTTTTTTTAACCACGTGTTTGCAGTTTTTCATGTTCACTTTTTTTTTTTTTTTAATTTTCAAAGAGCATTTCCTTTGCGGGTTGTGTTTTGAATCCTCAACTAGATAAAAATGTTTAGGAAAAGCACACAAACACACCTTGAGTAGATAAGAGGAACCTCCTTTATACGTGATTCCCTTAATGAGGTCAGCTTAACACAAAACGTTCTCTAGTTTTTGTAGATGGAAGGGACTTAGGGGGTCATTTCTTTCCCATCACTGTCCTACCCCCAAACGACCACTACAAAGCCAATCAGCCTCTTCCCCCACGTTTTCTGGAGGAAAATACCTTTGTCTTTACTGCTTTAGGATGGAATCGTTTGCAGCCAGTGAGATGGTAGAAATTATGCTTAAGGGTTTCTGACAATGAAGTTTCTGTGTGAGGTGGGGAGGATGAGGAAAGGGGCCGGAAAAGTTATTGCCACTAACAAGTGTTCTCCCTTCCCTGAAATTACCTCAAAACGCAAAAGGTGATCGCAACTACCTTGGAGAGCTACCAAGTAAAGCTTGAGTTTACTGATAGATTTTGTTTGGTAACACCAGTTTTCTCCATTTTTTTCCAGTGAATCTGACAGCCAAAAAGATTGAGACCTCACTAAAGTCACATAGCTCGGTGACCGAGCGATGGGTAGTGCAGAGGACTTTTGATTTTGTCAAGTGCTTACCATGACACTAGCCCTAACAACAAGTTTGTTCCATTTTCCTAAACGTGTTAATTTACACTTTAAATTCAGTGTGGTAACATGCTGCTTACAGAAATTTGAGGGTGAAATCTTCTGGAACGCAATTAGTTTCTGGTTTCTGGAGGGTTGATGATGAGTATGTCTAATTTTCTTTGAGTTTAGTACATGGCTTATGTAAATTGAACACCGTTTTAAAAGTTTGGCTTTAAAAACAGTACAGTCCATAAGTATTACAAAATATCGATATACTCCATTTTTTTAATAACTGGAGTTTATTCACCTTGGTGATAATATATTGCAGTATGGGTAGAATAATAAGTGGAATTAAAGCTTCATGCAACATATCAAAGAGAAAACTAACATATAATGAGTTTGTAACCGTAGAAATATATTTTAATTAGATTTCAGTTCGTTTTGTCCAGTTAAAAAAAATGAAAGTTACGTGTTAACAAATTATAAGATTGTTTTAAAGTATATTTTAGATATGTTTTTAAGAATAAGTGTCCTAGAGATTTACATTTTATTAAAATAGTGATTGTAGTCTATGTAGAATACAATGAAAGTGAAAAACATTATCTCTGTTGACCTGCATCTGTATATAATCTTAAAAAAGCTTACAGACATGAAACATTTTCAAGTGACTTAATGGAAATTAACTGATGTCAGTTAAACGTAGTGGAATAGAAATCCATGAGAAAATCCAAGAACACCAATTTAACAAAATAGTTCCTTAATGTTTAACTTTTTCTTGAAGACATGTAACTGGTTTCTTGTCATAGGAATTTTTAGTCTAAAATTGCCAGTTGAAAGATGGGGAATAGAGGTTTTAAGTTTCTCTTTTTTGTTTTAATTGAATAGCTATTTCATTAGTAAAGAATTCTATTTTCTTATTGTAGCTTGGTGTGTGCCTTGCCTAGTTTCACTTGATACTCTTCAGGAATTATGTAGAAAAGAAAAGCTCACATGTAAATCGATTGGAATCACCAAAAGGAATCTAAACAATTATGAGGTGGAATACTTGTGTGACTACAAGGTAGTAAAGGTAAGGCAAATATCTAGCCCCTTACAAGAGACCTAATCAGACTTCAGTATTTCGTATTTCTGTAACATAAAAAGAACATTAAAAGAAAAGCTCTTCTTAATGTTTAAAATTCTAAGGCATGATAAATTTATATGTCCTATCATCTGTGTTGCCAAATAGCATTGAGAGGATTTTGAAGCATAAAGTGTTCTTGCATTAGAATATTTTCAGGTGCTCATATCCCTCTACATCCAACTCTTGATTATCTCCGTGTGGGTTACCAGAGCAAATGTTTGATCTCCAATTGTCTTTCGTTTTGTTCGTGGATCGTATTTCCCCACTATCACCTGAAATGAACCTACCGTTTCAAACCAATTTTAGTGTTACTGACTCTCAAGAACATCACCATTTGCATTTCCTGCCATCTTGTCACACTCCAGATTTAGTCAGGTTCTAGGTTATAATAGAATGGCCTGGATTGCAAAGTCATTTCCAGCTTTTGTTTAGTACCTTAGGACTTAAGCAAACTCGTTTCACTTCTCTAAGCCTTCCTTTATTGCTCTTAAAAAACGGCAGAGTTGTTCTCAAAAGATTTTTTGATCTAAACTGTATATTTTTGAGTAATTCATCTGTCTATAGCCTACCTCACTTTCCAAGAACTGTTTTGGTCATTAATCTACCAAATCTATCAGATAAGTGAATCGGGAATCTTGTTTAAGTCTTTATTTTCCTCCTTCATCTTCTATATTGAATCAGTCACTAAATCCCATTCTTTCAAGTTCTTTAGTATCACTGCCTTCCCTGCTCAGTGGGATCTTATGCCCATGCATCTCACCTGCACTCTCAGCATCCTTCGGCCCCTGAAACAGCCCCAGTCATCTGCCATCTCAGTTTACAAGCTATGGACTGACCAGTCCAGCTGAGAATATTATACAATCATGCATATCAGCCCCATTATAACTTATTTCTGTTCTCACACTGCTCAGTTCTACCTGACAAGCTTTTTATCTTGCTTGCTTTTCCCATTCTTGTCAGCAGGTTTTCCAACTTGGATTACTTTTCTGGGTTTCT
Source organism: Homo sapiens (assembly GCF_000001405.40). Classification (NCBI taxonomy): domain Eukaryota; kingdom Metazoa; phylum Chordata; class Mammalia; order Primates; family Hominidae; genus Homo; species Homo sapiens. The sequence goes on from NC_000010.11 coordinate 14,882,696, forward strand.
TACTCTATCCATTTCTCATTTTCTGCTGAAGACCTCCTACCTCAATGAAAAATAGGATCTTTCATTTGTAAACTCTCAACTTACCTTCACCACCAGCTGTTCACACTTATTCTTACTTCCAGAGGTGTCACCATTTTTCTTTTTTCTTCCTATCTACCCCCTATAGGAGTTTTTTTTTTTTTTTTTAAAGGCCCAGAGTCTCGCTCTTGTCGCCCAGGCTGGAGTGCAGTCGTGCGATCTCAGCTCACTGCAACCTCCACCTCCTGGGTTCCAGCGATTCTCCTGTCTCCGCCTCCTGAGTAGCTGGGACCACAGGTGCCCGCCACCATGCCCAGCTAATTTTTGTATTTTTTAGTAGAGATGGGGTTTCACCATGTTGGCCAGGCTGGTCTCAAACTCCTGACCTCATGATCTGCCCGCCTTGGCCTCCCAAAGTGCTGGGATTACAGGCGTGAGCCACTGCACCCCGCCAGACTTTTTTTCTTCTCTGATGTCTTGTTTACATCAAGCTCTCTTTTTTTACTGATATATCTCAGTCAGTAAACACATTCAGATCTTCCCTAACCTTCAGAGATTTTCTTTGGCCTTGCCTCTCCCCTCATGCAAGTGTTTTCTGTCTTTTTCTACTACTGCATGTCCCATTAATTTTTTTAACAGCTTTGTTGAGATATAATTCACATGCTATCATACAGCTCACCTATTTAAAGTGTACAATTCAGATTTTGTAAACCGGGCACGGTGGCTCACGCCTGTAATCCTAGCACTTTGGGGGGCCAAGGCGGGCAGATCACTCGAGGTCAGGAGTTTGAGACCAGCCTGGCCAACATAGTGAAACCCCGTCTCTACTAAAAATACAAAAATTAGCCGGGCATGGTGGCGGGCCCCTGTAATCCCAGCTACTCAGGAGGCTGAGGCAGGAGAATTGCTTGAACTCCAGAGGTGGAGGTTGCAGTGAGTTGAGATCACCCCTCTGCACTCCAGCCTGGGCAACAGAGCGAGACTCAGTCTCAAAAAAAAAAAAAAAAAAAAAAAAAAAATCCCACAGATTTTCTAGTATACTTTAGGAGTCAGTTTTAGAACACTTTTCATTATCCCAAAAAGAAACAGTAAACCCCTTAGCTACCACCTGTTACCCCCAGACTTCCTCAGTTACCCTTCTACCTCCAGCCGTAGGGCAGCCACTACATCTGTCTGTCCATTTGCCTGGTTGGACATTTCATATAAAAGGAATCATACCATATGTGGTCCTTTGTGATTGGCCCCTTTCACTCAGCGTGTTTTCAGGGTTCATTCATGTTGTGAAATATATCAATACTTCATTCCTTCTTATTGCCAAATAATATTTCATTGTATGGATATATCACATTTAACTTATTCATCACTTCGTGGCCATTTGAGTTGTTTCCATTTTCGGACTATTATAAATAAGGCTGTTATGAACATTCGCCTACAGGGTTCTGTGTGGACATAAGTTTTCATGGTTCTTGGGTATATAACGAGGAGTGGAATTGCTGGGTCATATGGTGACTCTGTGTTTAACTGTTTGAGGAACTGCCAGACTCTTTTCCAAAGCACTGCATTTTACATTTCCACCAGCAGTGTATGAGTTTCAGTTCTTCACATCCTGGCCAAAACATGATGTTATCTGACTTTTTGATGATAGTTTTCCTAGTAGGTTTGAAGTGGCATCTCATTGTGGTTTTGATTTGTATTTTTCTGACTAATGATACTGAGCATCTCCTGTGCCTATTGGCCATTTGTATATCTTTGGAGAAATGTCTGTTCAGATCCTTTGCGCATTTTAAAAATTGGATTGTCTGTTTATTCTTGGAATCATACTTCATATAGTCTGGATACAAATCCCTTATTAGTATGTGATTTGCAAAAATTTTCTCCCATTCTGTGAGTTGTCTTTCCACTTCCCATTAGCTTTTTAACCCACCTTATTCTGACTTGTGCCCCTCAGTGACCTTTTAGTCGTCAGATTTGAAGACCTTGCATCTTATTCAACTTTTCCCCATTTAACACTGTTGGCTACCTTTTCCTCTTTGAAACTCTCGTCTATGGAGAAATTGTCTAGGTTTAACATTTGCCCCTTATTTATAAGTTGTGTGATCTTCAGCAAGTTACTTAGCCTTTCTGTCTTTCAGTTTCTTCATCTTTGAAACAAGGATCATTATTGTACTATTCTTACAGGGTGTTACTAGCATTAAATGAGTTAACATAGATAGAATGCGTGGAACAAAGGCCAGCGTGGTAATTATACTATGTGAGTGCTTACTGTGATTATTCTTACCTCTATTCCTACTTCTTTTCCACCTGTTTTTCTTACTATTCTTTATGAACCTCCTTTACTATCTCTTATCTCTCCTCTGAAATGTTGATAGTCTTCAAGGCCCTGTTCTTGGCCTTCTCACCTTGTAGTTGCTCTGTAGGCAGCCTCTTTCCCAGTGGTTTCTACTTGTATGTGTTTGGCTCATTCAATCTTTCTGAGGCCTTGAGCCCTTTCTGGGCTTCATTGCGAACTGGATACCCTACAGGTATCCAAGTTCACATTCAAAACTGCACCTATTTTCCTCCTTCATACCTGGATTTTGCACTAGTGTTCCCTATCTTGGTTAACAGAAACATAATTCTCCCACTTACCTAACCTCATGATTGCATATATCTTTAATTCTTCGTTTCTTTTTACTCTCTAAATCTAATGGGTTATCATATTATGTTATCTCTATCTCTCTGTCCTTTCCTGTTCATTCCTGCTGTGCTTTCACAGAGAGAATTAGTAATAGTTACTTACGGGTCTGTGCTTACATTAAGGGAGCTACCAAGATTCTTGTGTGGAATCCTGAGTGTTGTAGTTCAGTTTCAGATCATTTTTGCTGTTTAGTTTCTTCTTAGTCTTTCTCATCAGTTCATCCCTTTTCTTGCTTCGGAATAAGTGACCTTCCTTTGCTCTCTTATGTCCTCAGTACCCCACATACATCCCCCATTTCTTCTGTCTGGCACAGATATTGAATCTCTAAGCCAGCATTACTTTAGCATACCTCTGCCTTTTTTCTTCTCTTTCTCTTTCTTTTACAAATTCAGAGTAGGTGAAGGATCTTATGACCTTGTCCTTTTCTTGTGTGACCACCTTCACTTAGCTCATGAAAGATACTGTCTCAATACCATAGTCTACCGTGCCATTATAGTTGTTTCTTAAACCTAGCTCTGATTGCATTCAAGCCTTGCTTTAGACCTTTTCATGGTTCCCTATTTAACAGTCTCATCTGAGACATGTTAGCATAGGACCAAGGTTCTTTATCATCTGGCCACCCGCCACCTTTCCAGCCTCATCTCTTGTCATATATCCTATTTTCTGAAATTGAAATATTTATAGATCATTTCATTTAGCTAAGATGTACTGAGCACCTGTTATGAGCTAGGCACTGTTCTAAGCATTGGAAACATAGCTGAAGAACAGACCCAGCTTATATTCTAATGCCTTGAACATATCATGCACTTTTGTGTCCCCTTTCCTCATCCATTTCCCTCTTCAGAATACTACCATTTCTCTTCCCTGGACCGCAAAATCCTACACAGCCTGCACAGTTCAGTGCATAGGTCACCACCTATTGTAGAACCACCTGCCCTTCCTCACCTCCAGCAAAATTAGTTGATTTATGTTCAGGATTTACAAAGCACCATTCTTGCCATTACTCTAGAACTTGTCGCACTTTATGGTCTTGTTTATATCAGATCTTCCCTGCCAAATCATCCACCATTTGAGGGCCAGGACTATGTCTCATTTTAGTCCCGGTACAGAACGGGTGTTTGGTCCATGGTCATTGAATTGAATTGTCTTTTGCTTCGGTCATGTTTCTAGGGCCTACATTCACTATTAGACTAGGCCTTCCTGGCTTCATGCTTAGATGATAGCAGCATTCTGTTGACTCGTATCTCCTGTTTCTTTTTCTCGTATACTTACTCAACAAATATTTGAGTTTCTTCTGTGTGCCAGACACTGTGTTAGGCACTGGGAATAGAAAGATTAATAAGAAACTCCCTCACTATAAAGAACTCACAGCCTAGTGAGAAAGTTTGACAAAGAAATAACCCGTTGCAGTGTAGATGTATAAAAAGTGCTGTGGCAAACATCGTTAGAAGATCTGTGGGAGGTGCACCTTGGATAGGTCACAGAAAGCTTCCCAGAAGTGATGTCCAAGTGGAGCCTGAAAAGGCGAGCATTGTAATTGACTAGGGCTTCTGTCTGGAGAATGAGGTGGTCGGAGATGGATGTGGGAAAGAAAGAGGTGAGTGAAGGATTTTTCAGCCATCCTAAGGCAATGGGGAGTTAGTTGGCAGGTTCTAAAGAGAGTGACACATCAGGTTTGTAATTGAGAGAATTTTCTCTCTGCAAAAAAGAAAGGGGATTGATAGGGAAAGGAATAACACGTGCATGGCTGCATGTTCTGAATGGCTGTCATAGTAACCAGACCAGAAACAATGGTGCTTGGACTAAAGTATTAACGATGTCAAGGAAAAGTAGGTGCACGGTTCTTTTGTTTTTTAAAAAAAAATAAGGATGTAAAATGTATGTCTGTGGCTTGTGGTCACAGGGTTGGGTGGGGGTCTGGTAGTGAAGGTGCCAGGTCTAGGAAAATACAGGTTTCTGACTTGGGCAGTGGTGTAGACAGTATTACTGTTCACCAGGAATACAGGAGTAGGAACTAGATTGGGTTTGGGGACCCATTTCCAGTGGGTTTAAGTTCTACTTAAAACATACTCAACTTTCTTGAGTACTTTCAAAATGTACTTTCTTGAAGACATTTTAAGTGGAACTTAAACCAACTGGAAGTGGGGCTCAAATCAGTAGTGAGATCTAACTAGAAACATAGATCCTAAAGTAATTGGCAAAAAGATAGAGAGGGAAGCCTTGGGAGTGGATGCAGTTTCCTGTTCATGAACTCAGCCAATATTTACTGGCCATCTACCATGTCCTGCACTAGGAATTGGGAATCTGAGCAATGACTGATGTGAGGGTACGGTCCCTGATACTACAGAGTTTATCGTTCAGTGAGGGTAGAAATACCTTAAATACAGTTGGACAAAGTACTTATTGTAGTTGACGTAAGTGTTGATGTGACAGAAAGATCTCACTTATCCTGGAGAGACTGGGCAGGTATCCCTGAGGAACTGATGTTTCAACTTAGTACTAAAGGAAGAAAGGGATATGTGGGAGGGATTTCGAGGCAGAAGACAGCCTGACTTCAAGGAGTAGAAAGAGGGCCTTCAAGGAATAGAGGGTGTGAGTGGAACAGAGCAAGTAAGAGGGAGCATGTGAGGCTGGCGGGGTGGGCAGGCCCCAGAGTGTGCGGCTCCTCATAGGCCGAGGAAAGGATTTTGGACTTCCTCTTAAGGGCGTAGAGAACCATTTAGTAGTTTTAAGCAGGGGAGCAGCATGCTGAGATGTATGTGTTGAAAACATGACTCTGGCTGTTGTGCCCTGAATGGGTTGAGGGTGGCAAGAGGCGATTGCAGTAGCCCAAGCAAAGCAAATGTGAGCAGAAAACAAGGATTGAGGATGAGCCCTGAGGAGTAGGTGGGGACACTCATAGGAAGGACTGTCAGAGTCTGAGACACACTGGCAAGAGAGGTAGTCAGAAAATGGGAAGAGTTGGCCGGGCGCAGTGGCTCACACCTGTAATCCCAGCACTTTGGGAGGCCGAGGCGGGCAGATCATGAGGTCAGGAGATTGAGACCATCCTGGCCAACATGGTGAAACCCCGTCTCTACTAAAAATATAAAAATTAGCTTGGCATGGTGGTGCGCTTGCCTATAATCCCAGCTGCTTGGGAAGCTGAGGCACGAGAATCTCTTGAACCCAGGAGGCGGAGGTTGCAGTGAGCCGAGTTTGCACTACTGCACTCCAACCTGGTGACAGAGCGAGACTCGGTCTCAAAAAAAAAAAGAAAGAAAATGGGAAGAGTAAATCATGGGAACCAGAGAAAAGATGATGTCAGCAGGAGAGTATTAAACAGTAGGTCAGAGAACTGGAAAGAATCCACTGTATTTAGTAATGGAGGGTCACTGATGCCCTTAGAGCACCTCTGAGAAGAGCCAAAGGAATGAATTAAAGAATGAACCAGGCCGGGTGCAGTGGCTCACGCCTGTAATCCCAGCACTTTGGGAGGCTGAGGCAGGCGGATCACCTGAGGTCGGGAGTTCGAATCAGCCTGACCAACATGGAGAAACCCTGTCTCTACTAAAAATACAAAATTAGCCGGGCGTGGTGGCACATTCGTGTCATCCCAGCTACTTGAGAGGCTGAGGCAGGAGAATAGCTTGAATCCAGGAGGCAGAGGTTGCAGTGAGCTGAGATCGTGCCATTGCACTCCAGCCTGGGCTACAAGAGTGAAACTCTGTCTCAAAAAAAAAAAAAAAATTAACCGGAGGTAAGAAAGTAGAGTCAAGTAGTATGGACAATTCTTCCATGAATCCTAGCTTTCAAGAAAACGAGAGGGCTACATGGGTATAAGGGTGTTTATAATTTTTTTCAAGTTTTTTTGAAAAGACCATTGTGATAGTAATTTTTTTTTAATTTTGAGGAGGTATTATGCATGTAGTTTTAGAAAATGAATGTTATAAAAGGTCAGATACTGACATCTACCCCATGACCTAGTTTCAGTCTCTGTCTTAGCAACTTAATATGTCTTTTAGAGATTCCCTACATATACAAAAGTTTATATCTCAGAGGAGGTTTAGTTTTATTTTGCTTTTTAAAAATGGAGCCTGTTTAAATGCTAGTGAGAACCAGCAGAGGGAGATACTGAAGAGACAAGAAGAATTGACCGAGGAAGTGCGTCTCTCTTTTCATGTCTGCATCCACCTTATCTCTAGCTCCATGGCCATGGAAGGCTGGCAGTTAAGGCAGTTAATGCCTGGTGGTTTCCATTTTCTCTTTGCATTAGTAACAAAGGTCATACATCACTGAAAATAACACAGGAGGTAGGGGTGGGAACCTTGAGCAAAGTGGAGGAGGTCTAAAATAGCCAACTTGAGAAATGGAAAAAATTCTGTGGGGGCAGGAAAAAGGGTTGTTACTATTATGAATTCATGTGAAGGGTCAAGTTGAACTTAAAGGGTGTTAATTGTAGTAGTATTGAGTCTCAATGCAAGGTGATTTTTCTGCAGCATTATTGTTGCTACATCACCCCTTCATACAGAATAATTTCTGACAAAACTATGGGTATTTAAGATAGTTCAGTTAAGAACAAGATCCTCTGTACACATTGATGGACATGCACATAGCTTAGTAAGCTGAGCAACAAATATTGCCTATAGCTTTGGTTTCTTAAAGTATACAGGTACTTTTGTGTTTCGAGAACCACCTCTATATGGCGTGGCACAAATTAATGATAGTCCACATCTGACAATATAGTGATATTCCTGAAACACTGATTGAACCTAGAGTGGTTAAGAACTAGAATAACAGAAATCATTATACTACAACCTGTATTTGAGAGATCAGGAAATTACAGCTCTAAGAAAATACTTTAACAATCAATGTCATGTGGCTCACTTTTTTCAATTCTGGGTGTCTAACCCAGCTATCACAATTCCTACTCTTACTGGCATGAAAATTCAGTGATTTTTCCATTGACTATAATAGTTCTCAGACTATGCTCCCATGGAACCACTGGTGTTTTCATAATCAAATTCCAGTTATTTATTTAGAGACAGGGTCTCACTCTGTTGCCCAAGCTGGAGTGCAGTAGCCTGATCTTGGCTCACTGCAGCCTTGACATCCCAGGCTCAAACGATCCTCGCATCTCCGCCTCTTGAGTAGCTAAGACCACAGGCATGTGCCACCACATGCTGCTAATTTGTAGAGACAAGGTCTCACTATATTGTCCAGGCTGGTCTCCAACTCCTGGGCTCAAGCAATCCTCCTGCCTCAGCCTCCCAAAGTGAGCCACTGTGCCCAGCCAGATGCAGGTTATTTTAACACTGATATTGAATATGATGATTATTTCAAAATTGGCAGAAAAAATTACCTAGTGGAAAGACAAAATTTTTTTGTACTTTGTCTTCTCATATGTTTCTTTTAAAGTTTTGGTGTTTGCTGCCACTTGTTGGCTATAGACAGCAGGTGACAAATATTGAGAAACCGTGAATTGCTACCTCCAAGTTTATCAGCTTGTATTTCCTTTAAGAACTCATACAGTTATTGTTGTGATTTGTATATTACATACCTTTTGGTACTCCTATTTTTTTGTTATACATTCAGAAACATTTAGTCACAGCCTAAGATATGGTGGGCAGTTGTGCTCATTTGGGGGCTATAAAAAATAAGATTCCATCCCTTCCCGCAAATAACTTAGAGTTTAAATTGGAAATTGGAACAAAAAGGAGTTGATGGTGATCAGTTCTTCTTGGGTATGAGAGACAGGAAAGACTTCATAGAAGAGGTGATATTTACACCGTTTTAAAAGATGAGATGAGCATTCATTGGACCAGTGGGAAAGGCCCTCCTAATTAGGGAGAACTTTGTGAACAAAGCAGCAGGGGCATCAAAAGGCCTGGCAAGTTGTTCATTGTGGCCAGTGTGTGTTGTGTGAATGGGGCCATGATGGAAGATGGAGCCAGAGAGGCATCAGGGAACAGTTCCAGAGTGGCTTGCTTTCTGAAAAGAGGAACTTTGAACTTTGTTCCCTAGGCAGGGTGGAAACCATTAACAGTTTTTAAGCAAAATAACAACAGGATAACTGGTTTTGTGGATTTTTTGTTTTTACAAAAAAAACTCCATAGTAAAGAAGGATAGAGTGTTTGAAGCTGTAAGTCTGGAGTAGGGAAACTAGTTGGAAGATTAATGTTTAAGAATGCAGGCAAGAATTGTGGGCCTGAAGTAACTAACCCTATAGAAATAGAGATGGACAGGAAGAAGTCCATCTCTAAAGAAACTTAGTGATGATTGGATTGAGGAGAAGAAGGAATTGAGATAACCTGGTTTCTGGCTTGTGTGAGTAGGTGGACAGGTAAGATTCACCATGATAAGGAATAAAGAAATAATCTGATATGGAAGGACAGTGGTGAGTTACATGTCGATAGGTTGCTTTAAGAACCATCCGGTAGGCTATTGGATATATTGGGCTGCAGTTAAAACTTGGAGAGTCATCAGCATATAATTATTAGTTAAAACTCTGGGGTGATGAGGTTGTCCAAAGAGATCGTTTGTAGTAGGAATTCTCTAAACCCGGAATCTAAATATCCTGAAATTACCCAAAACGTTTTATATGTGGTTTTTGTTAGAGAAAAGTCCATCGCTTTCATCACATTCTCCAAAGGGATAAACAGGTTCATGTGAAAAGGGATGCCAGACAGGGTCCTGAGTGTCTCCATCGTGTAAGTGATGGTCAGGGGAAGCAGTCTCAGCAAGGAAAATACAGAGGAGCAAGAAGGAAGTCTGAGAAATGGTTAGGTGGTGGCTGCCGCCTTAGAGAGGTAAAATAAGAGAAGGGCTGAAGAGTCCGTGGGTTTGGCAATTAATAGATTTGTAAAATTGTTCCTAACTAACAAGATGGAGTTAAATGTACTTCATGAAGCTCCCCTAGAGGCACCATGGTTTCTGAGAACTTTAAGAACCACCGGCCTACAATAAAGTTCAAGTGTCTCAGTGAAGTGAGTGTTATGGTTGTTTAAAATTTGTTCTTGCCTTACCATGACAAGTTTTAGCTTGTTTCAACATTCCGAACCTTAAAGCTAGACAGATCCATCTTTTCACTATTTTTTAGATACTTCATGCAAATCTTAGCTCCCAGCTTTTGCCCACGTTTTTCATCCTGCCATGTTCCCTACTCAATCACTGCTCTCACTCCTTCAGAGTGTAGTGTGTACTGCTTTCTGTCTTCCCTTTTCTCATTGTCTCAGCTGCATTGATTTCCCTCTATATTCTGGTGATAATGCCTTAGGTTGCTACTTATTTCACATTACTGCTGCCTCTTCCCTAAGAGATTTTACTCCTAAAGGCTAGTAATATATTTCCCTATACCCCCTAGTGACCAAACGTTCATATACTTATTATAGATCCTAAAATATTTGAATGACTTTAACTGACACCGAAGATAGTTGGGGGAAATGTCTTTTTTTTTTTTTTTGGAGACGGGGTCTCGCGCTGTCACTCAGACTGGGCTGGAGTGCAGTGGCTTGATCTCAGCTCACTGCAACCTCCGCCTCCCAGGTTCAAGCAGTTCTCCTGCCTCAGCCTCCCAAGTAGCTGGGATTACAGGTGCCTGCCCACCACCATGCCGAGCTAATTTTTTGTATTTTTTTTTTTTTTTTTTTTTTTGAGACGGAGTCTCGCTGTCGCCCAGGCTGGAGTGCAGTGGCGCAATCTAGGCTCACTGCAGGCTCCGCCCCCTGGGGTTCACGCCATTCTCCTGCCTCAGCCTCCCGAGTAGCTGGGACTACAGGCGCCCGCCACCTCGCCCGGCTAATTTTTTGTATTTTTAGTAGAGACGGGGTTTCACCGTGTTAGCCAGGATGGTCTCGATCTCCTGACCTCGTGATCCGCCCGCCTCGGCCTCCCAAAGTGCTGGGATTACAGGCGTGAGCCACCGCGCCCGGCCTTTGTATTTTTAGTACAGATGGGGTTTCACCATGTTGGCCAGGCTGTTCTCGAACTCCTGACCTCGTGATTCACCCGCCTTGGCCGGGAAGTGGCTTTAAAAAAAAATTCATATGATGTATTCCAAATTACATAGGAGTGATTTATGGATCGTTTTTGCCACTGGGATTCCATTTCTATAGGTAATCAAGAGTTGATTACATATCAGAATAAGATATTGATGTAATAAGCTTATGAACTTTTTGGCCTTTATTTGGCATTTTAGCTTATTCTTAAAGTGGTTTTCTGTGTAAAATCATTTTTCAAAGAGGAAATATCTTTTCTGGATTTTAAAAATAAAATATGCTTATAAAATAAAAGTCAAGTCTACCAAGTTGAAACAAAATCTTACTAATATTTCTATGCTAGTCTGCTATAAGCATTCATGTTTTATAAGCATATTTCCTGTTCATAAATTCAAGTAGGTACCAATGTGATTAGCATACAAAACTTGGTCATTTAAAATGCAAGTGATTCACTAAGATTAAATACAATTAATTATTTGGGAAATAACTTCAGTGGCAGATGTTTTTAGTGTTCCTGGATGATTTAACCATTGACTTAAAGCCATCATTTCTATTTCTTTGATTGTTTGCTGGAACACTTGGCATAACCCAGGGCTATGATAGGAAACACTGTAGCCAAAAAAAAGAAAAAGGACCAGGGTTGCATTGCTTTATTCTAGCATCTGAAAAATTTAAAATGTTTAGAATTAAGGGGAGTAGAAAAGTTAGATGCTGCCAGTTGGATCTTGTATCTGCTAGAGTGTGAACAGATACCCACTAACAGCAGTCCTGAATTGTAGCGGTCACCTGAAAGGAGGAAGAAATCCTTAGGCTTTAGTGGGGCTCAATTTGACAAATACTAAAATGTACATCTAGGCTTTTTTTTTTTTTTTCCTGGAACCGCAATATATATTTCCACAGAATTACAGTTTTTGTGCATTTCTGCACACCATGTAATCACATTTTTTAAGAGAAGAAAACTTTTGACCAATTTTCAAAAGAAAGCAAAGTTTTTTTTTTTTTTTTTTTTTTTTTTTTTTGAGACGGAGTCTCGCTCTGTCGCCCAGGCTGGAGTGCAGTGGCGCGATCTCGACTCACTGCAAGCTCCGCCTCCCGGGTTCACGCCATTCTCCTGCCTCAGCCTCCCGTGTAGCTGGGACTACAGGCGCCCGCCACCACGCCCGGCTAATTTTTTGTATTTTTAGTAGAGACGGGGTTTCACCGTGTTAGCCAAGATGGTCTCGATCTCCTGACCTCGTGATCCGCCCGCCTCGGCCTCCCAAAGTGCTGGGATTACAGGCGTGAGCCACCGCGCCCGGCCGCAAAGTTTTTAATTCACAAAGATTACTGCTTGTTGAATAGAATATAATGAAACAAAATATTAAGATGCAGATAGTGGGGATAAAATAAGCCCACTCCTGGGTGGGCGCCTGGTTCCTGCACAGCTGCCTCATGGTGTCCCTCAGCCCAATTTGTGCCTCAGCAACATGGCAGATATCACATGGCTTAGACCTTTTGTCATTAATGCATTATGACTGTTAAAACAACTGTCATGGACCTCTGTACTTTGTAATAAAAACTTTCTTAAAATTTTCAGGGAAAAGCAGTTATCTCAATTAACAAGATTTTTCAGTATCTAAGACTTAAAATGATAATGTAACTGTCCAATGCAGTTTAATCACCTTTTTATCTTAGAAGACATTTTATGATCTAATGTTACCCTTGGGCATGTGGCTATATATTATTCCAGAAGAAAAAAAAAATTACTGAGACTTTACTTCAAAATTTGTTAGACACACTTAACTGTGTTTTTTATCTTTTATTTTTTACTTTTATTTTTTTTTTTTTTGACATGGAGTCTCACTCTTTTGCCCAGGCTGGAGTGCAGTGGCACAGTCTTGGCTCACTGCAACCTCCTCCTCCTGGGTTCAGGCGATTCTCCTGCCTCAGCCTCCCAAGTAGCTGGGATTACAGGTGCCTGCCACCACACCCGGCTAATTTTTTGTATTTTTAGTAGACAGGGTTTCGCCATATTGGCCAGGCTGGTCTTGAACTCCTGGCCCCAAGTGATTCACCCACCTCTGCCTCCCAAAGTGCTGGGATTACAGGCGTGACCCACCGCACCCAGCCGGAACTGCCTTTTTAAAAAGAAACTTAAACGTGGCATTGCCTTACTTTAAGGGAGGAAAACATAGTCATTGGAGTGAAAAGACAAGATACCATGGTGCCTTGTTGCCAAGGCATCGTGGCCAACAACAGTCTGAGGGATAGATTAGAATAGTTGCTCTTAGGTGGCTTGAGTGCCTGCTACCTAATCCAGTCATGGGTGAGTCTAAATAAAATCAGCATTCTCTAGAAGAGAGCTGTCCAATAGAAATGTAATGCAAGCTGCAGATGCCATTCAACATCTACTAACCACATTGAACAAAGTAAAAAGAAACAGCTGAAATTGCTTTCAAGAATGTATTTGATCCAATATATCCAAAATATTATTTCAACCTGTAATAGTTTTAAGTTACTTAGTGTTCTTTTTTTTGTATGATACAAAGTCTTCAAAATTCAGTGTGGGTTTTTTTTTTTTGCTTTTTTTTTTGTTTGTTTGTTTTGTTTGTTTGAGACTGAGTCTCGCACTCTGTCGCCCACGCTGGAGTGCAGTGGTGCAATCTTGGCTCACTGCAACCTCTGCCTCCCAGTTTCAAGCGATTCTCATGCCTCACCCTCCCTAGTACTGGCATTACAGGCGTGCACCACCACACCCAGCTAATTTTTGTGTTTTTAGTAAAGATGGGGTTTTCCCATGTTGCCCAGGCTGGTCTCGAACTCCTGGGCTCAAGCGATCCACCCACCTTGGCCTCCCAAAATGCTGGGATTACAGGCATGAGCCACCGTGCCCAGCCTCAGTGTGTATTATATTTTAAGCATATCTCAATTCAGATTGGCCACATTTCAAGTTTTCAGTAGCTGTATGTGGCTCGTAATAACCGTATTGGATAGTTCATCTCTAGAACATCTAGAGAATGTGTGCCCATGATGTTGAGAAATGAGTTCCCTTGTGTCTGGTGTTTGATATTAAGTTATGGACGTTAAGAATGCCTGAATCTATTGCTGGCCAAGTAAGCCACTAACCTAGGTCATAAAGAGTTAGCTTTGGGACCATTTATTTCCATGATCAAAATAAATACATCTGGGTTTAACCTGAATCACCATTTAGTAACATAGTCATCAGTTTCAGTACCTTTGTCTTTTTCCAGGTAAAACTCTTTAGCCTCTTATCAAACATGTTATGCCACATCTAAATTCCATATTTTATGTAATATAAGGAAAAATAGTTTTATTTGTATGATTTATACTTCATGTGTTAGGAACCTGTGACTACATGTTCTGAACTGTTAGTAAGAAAAATGGTATTGGATACCTTACTCTTTAAGATTTTTAATTATTTTTGGTAAAACTGGGAAATAGCCGTCTGATTTGCATTTTATTTTCTTTTGTATTTTAAGGATATGGAATATTATCTTGTAAAATGGAAAGGATGGCCAGATTCTACAAATACTTGGGAACCTTTGCAAAATCTGAAGTGCCCGTTACTGCTTCAGCAATTCTCTAATGACAAGCATAATTATTTATCTCAGGTAAAGAAAGGCAAAGCAATAACTCCAAAAGACAATAACAAAACTTTGAAACCTGCCATTGCTGAGTACATTGTGAAGAAGGCTAAACAAAGGATAGCTCTGCAGAGATGGCAAGATGAACTCAACAGAAGAAAGAATCATAAAGGAATGATATTTGTTGAAAATACTGTTGATTTAGAGGGCCCACCTTCAGACTTCTATTACATTAACGAATACAAACCAGCTCCTGGAATCAGCTTAGTCAATGAAGCTACCTTTGGTTGTTCATGCACAGATTGCTTCTTTCAAAAATGTTGTCCTGCTGAAGCTGGAGTTCTTTTGGCTTATAATAAAAACCAACAAATTAAAATCCCACCTGGTACTCCCATCTATGAATGCAACTCAAGGTGTCAGTGTGGTCCTGATTGTCCCAATAGGATTGTACAAAAAGGCACACAGTATTCGCTTTGCATCTTTCGAACTAGCAATGGACGTGGCTGGGGTGTAAAGACCCTTGTGAAGATTAAAAGAATGAGTTTTGTCATGGAATATGTTGGAGAGGTATGTTTCATTTGCCACGTAGTAAATGATGGACATGCAAGGTTTATACTTTTGGAAAATTACCTTTTTATCTCTTTAAGAGATACTTGGTACATTTTGATATTTTCATTTGCAGATATGTAGAAATTTATTCAGATTTAGGAGAAGAGTTCACTGGCATATTTAGAAATAAAAAACTTTTATATGAATAAAAAATATACGTTAAAACAAATTGATATAGTCATCTTTCAACAAATACACATTCCTACTAGTCAAACCTAGGATTTGTAAAATTTAAAATATGACAACTGTTTTTACCCAAAAGTCCTAAGAAGAAACTCAGATGTAACACATGCTGCTTTGAAACTTGAAAGTTTTAATTTACTTCATCTATTTGACCAAATATGATTAAATGTAGTTGGCAGAACTCTATTTTGGATCAACATGAAAGATACTATATTTATGAGTTTTGTAAAATATACACAAGCATTTATTGCATCCATAATCTGTAACTTACTTTTGAACTGTGAAGACCATTCTCAAAACTACCATACAAATACTAGCAAATTTATTTGTATACAAATCATATATATGTATATATATATATAAATGTAAAAAGTATTTGCCGTGTGTCACATACTATTCTAAGCACTTGATGTATTAATTCACTAATCCTCTCCAAAACTCAGTGAGGTAGTACTGTTTCTTTTTTTTTTTTTTTTTTTTTTTTTTTTGAGAAGTAGTACTGTTATGTCCATTATTGTAGAGAAATTGAGTACCTTGCCCAAGGTCACACAGGTCACATAGTAATAAGAACCGAGATTCAAAGCTCTAAAATCAGTAGTCTTCACCATGGCACCACACTGCTTCAAACTGAAGGGTAGGTTGAGCTGTGACTAGAAAGACACAAGCATGGCTACATATCTGGAGTTGTCAACTCTGGATTTTTTAGTTGGAATTGGGTCACCTATAATTATCTGTATTCATCTATAATTCTGAAACTAAATTAGATGGCTGTTTTGATTCTTACACTTTTAGACAGTGGTAGATTATTATAAATTATTCAGTATACAAGATCTTGTATAATCAAATTACTCTTTTTGTTAACCAAAATTTTTTAAGTTGCATTCTTAATGAGTGCAGCAGCCAAATTTGGTTGGTAACATAAAGTACTTTAGACACTTTTGGTTTCTTAAGCCGAGCGTGTCATAAAACTTGTGTTCTTAAGAGCAGAACTGTAGATGACGATCTTAGACTTACAGAATTGCATGAAAATAACATATTCTACAAAAACAAAACCTTCCATTCCAAAGTTAACATAGCTTCTCCCCTGTATTTTTAACAATTTTCCATTTGTAACTGCATATATATAAGTTATAGGAAAAATGTGCCTGGATCATATTTAGAGCATATACTTGCAGATTTAGTCCTTAACATTCAGTTGTGTCCTGTAGAGAGCTATAGTTGTATAGCTTTTTGAACATCCTAATTATAATGAAAGTAATGCAGTGTTCCAATGTACTGCTCAAATCCTGTTTAAAAAGTCATAAATCAACCAGTTACAGTTAATCCCAGCACTTGGGGAGGTCAAGGCTGGAGGCTCACTTGAGCCCAGGAGTTCCAGACCAGTGTGGGCAACATAGTGAGACCCCACATCTCTATAAAAACTAAATCATTAGCTGGGCATGGCGGTATGCACCTGTGATCCAGCTAGTCAGGAGGCTGAGGCAGGAAGATCGCTTGATCCCAGGAGTTAAAGGATACAGGGAGTCATGATGGCACCACCGCATTCTAGCCTGAGTGACAGAGTGAGACCCTGTTTAAAAAAAAAAGGTCATCAGTCTTTTGCATTATCATTTTTCTTCCCCTCATTTTCCCACCTCTTTGCATCTGAGTCTTAGTTTGTGTGAATGTTTGCTTTGATGACACCTGAATTTCTTACTTTTTAAATATTTGTAGGTATTCGCATATTAGTAGATAGGTAGATGAATGCTTCTTTGGTTCAGTAGCTACGTAATATACTTACAGTTTTTTCTGTTTAGGTAATCACAAGTGAAGAAGCTGAAAGACGAGGACAGTTCTATGACAACAAGGGAATCACGTATCTCTTTGATCTGGACTATGAGTCTGATGAATTCACAGTGGATGCGGCTCGATACGGCAATGTGTCTCATTTTGTGAATCACAGCGTAAGAAGACATACGTAAATTTTAGACACGACTAACAATTCAACCTAGTACTAGTTTCCATAGCTAAAGAATAATTCCCTTTAAACTACATATCCTTTTAACATTTCCAAAATATGTATTTTATAAGGAGGGCAGCTTCTGTTAAGTTATGGTATTATTGCTGTATTAGGAAAATTAAACATTGAGGTGCCTACCAAATATTAATAGGGTGTATTTTACAAGAGTCTTTACATATGTTACTTCATTTAAACTTTCTAGTAACTTTGTACGGTAGGTATTACTTTCATATTACAATGAGCAGAGCAATTAAGAGGTAAAATGTCCAAGAATTACACAGAACTGTATCTTAATGGAAGTTAACACGACTACATTTTAGGATGTACAACTGAAGGTAAATGTATTTTCTTAAAATGTAAACATGTTAACTTTTTATAAAATTTAAAGATTTGTAGAGTATTTATGTAGGGCTATTTTTCTAAATTATAAATTAGTATTCTTCCTTACCTTTTAATGTCTGAAAGCTCTTAGAATACAGCTGGCACTTAACTGCAGAATTCTGGACTCTAAATAATTTCCAAAAATTAGGGAAGTTAATAATTTTGGGTTACCTACTAAGTAGCAAGTGGACAGTAAAACATTAGGCTTGTTAGGGTGACATTATCTGCATTTTGTGGATAATAAGGACAGTGTGTGCCACAAAGTTATATAGCTGAACATATAAAGGAAGTAGACCATGTTAAACTTCTGATGGATTTCATAGTAAGAAATTGGTGTATGATTAGCAGAGAGCTTCTGGGCCCTTGTTTGTTGATTAAACATTGAAGAATTTTTTTCTTAATGATAAATTCGAGATACTCTCAAAATAGAGATATTCTATCCAGGGCCATCAAACAGTTTTGATTCCTTAGTATGACTCACTACATCTTTTTTCTTGCATATTCCGTAAGTTTACTGTAGTATTCTCAAAACATTGAAGAGTTTGGACCAAAAATTCAAGCAGTGAAACTCCATGCAGTGTAAAATTTGAGTTCTGTAGTGCAGATTTGATTTTTTAAACACAGTTGTTCTAGTTATTTTAAAGTGTATGCCTTACTGAAATAGTTACCAGTGAAATAATAATGTTATCTGGGATTTGTATTGAAATTCTCCAGGAAAAAAAAAAGTTGGGACTAGAGGAATAAGATTGGCAAGCATGTTACTAATTGTTGAAGCTGTATAGTGGATACATAGGGATTTCTTATTTTCTCTATTTTATACTTGTCTGAAGTTTTTATAAGGGAAAAAAATCTTTTTAAATGTGCATGCCTCAAAGACCTCTAAGCAATAAGCAACTTAATTTCCAGTGGAACTTAAACTAAATCTCTAGGAAAGTAAACATTTTATATGGCATGTAGAAGGGCTTGTTTACACCGTTTGTACTTAAATGGGTTCTAATGTTCCTTTTTAGTGTGACCCAAATCTTCAGGTGTTCAATGTTTTCATTGATAACCTCGATACTCGTCTTCCCCGAATAGCATTGTTTTCCACAAGAACCATAAATGCTGGAGAAGAGCTGACTTTTGATTATCAAATGAAAGGTATGCTTTTCAAGTACAGTTTCATTGGTGTCAGTTTCAATATGAAGAATCAAATCAGACTAGGAACAGACCTTAGATATTTGAACCAAACCTAATACTAAAGATGAAAAGTTGAGGCACTAAGTTTGTCATCCTAAGGTACAAAGCTAATCCAACAGCTAATACTAGAACCCAGGTCTGCCTGAGCTTCAGCTGAGGAATGGTTCTACATCGTAAATTTTCAGAACTTCCATTTTGGAAACTGATTTATTTATTATAGCATCTTAATACTGTACTACTTGTCTTTTTTTTTTTTTTTAAATTGTGGGCTAAGCATGCTGGCTCCTGCCTGTAATCCCAGCACTCTGGGCTTGAGCCCAGGAATTCAAGACCAGCCTGGGCAACATGGTGAAACTCTGTCTCTACAAAATATGAAAAAACTAGCCGGGCGTGGTGGCGTGTGCCTGTAGTCCCAGCTACTCGGGAGGCTGAGGTGGGAGGATGGCTTGAGACAGGGAGGTTGGGGCTACAGTTGAGCTGTGAATAGCACCACTGCACTCCAGCCTGGACGACAGAGACCCTGTCTGAAAAAAAAAACTATAAGCCTACATTTTTGAATTTTTACTGAGAGATGTATATTCAAAAGATTGAAAATATTTAAATCACATACAAATTTATTCTATTCCTACTTGAACCTGGCTTTTAAAAAGAACATTTAATTCTATTTGCTTTATTGTGACAATATAAATGTTTTCTTTCCTTTAAGAATGATGGCCTTTACATATTGTCATTGCTTAACCTCTTACATACTGTGCTTTTATATACGGTGTGAAATGAATGTGTATTAGATATTCCCAGTAAGTTTCATCATTTCAGAAATCCTTTCTGACAAATATGGGCTAATAACATAAAGTTTACCTATTATTAACCCACACCATCCTTTCAAGACAATTCATTATGATTTGACGCTGAATATTAACATTTATTTGTAAATATTTCAAAGGGAACTAACTACATTTCCTTGGGAGTTAACTTACTCTAAGGGTCTTGACCATGTAAGTACCCTCTATCACTGATAATAAAGCTAATATAATAGAAAATTTGAAATTTATTCTAAATTGTCTTAACTCTCTTTCTCCTATATTTCTTTTTCTGTGTCTTCAGGTTCTGGAGATATATCTTCAGATTCTATTGACCACAGCCCAGCCAAAAAGAGGGTCAGAACAGTATGTAAATGTGGAGCTGTGACTTGCAGAGGTTACCTCAACTGAACTTTTTCAGGAAATAGAGCTGATGATTATAATATTTTTTTCCTAATGTTAACATTTTTAAAAATACATATTTGGGACTCTTATTATCAAGGTTCTACCTATGTTAATTTACAATTCATGTTTCAAGACATTTGCCAAATGTATTACCGATGCCTCTGAAAAGGGGGTCACTGGGTCTCATAGACTGATATGAAGTCGACATATTTATAGTGCTTAGAGACCAAACTAATGGAAGGCAGACTATTTACAGCTTAGTATATGTGTACTTAAGTCTATGTGAACAGAGAAATGCCTCCCGTAGTGTTTGAAAGCGTTAAGCTGATAATGTAATTAACAACTGCTGAGAGATCAAAGATTCAACTTGCCATACACCTCAAATTCGGAGAAACAGTTAATTTGGGCAAATCTACAGTTCTGTTTTTGCTACTCTATTGTCATTCCTGTTTAATACTCACTGTACTTGTATTTGAGACAAATAGGTGATACTGAATTTTATACTGTTTTCTACTTTTCCATTAAAACATTGGCACCTCAATGATAAAGAAATTTAAGGTATAAAATTAAATGTAAAAATTAATTTCAGCTTCATTTCGTATTTCGAAGCAATCTAGACTGTTGTGATGAGTGTATGTCTGAACCTGTAATTCTTAAAAGACTTCTTAATCTTCTAGAAGAAAAATCTCCGAAGAGCTCTCTCTAGAAGTCCAAAATGGCTAGCCATTATGCTTCTTTGAAAGGACATGATAATGGGACCAGGATGGTTTTTTGGAGTACCAAGCAAGGGGAATGGAGCACTTTAAGGGCGCCTGTTAGTAACATGAATTGGAAATCTGTGTCGAGTACCTCTGATCTAAACGGTAAAACAAGCTGCCTGGAGAGCAGCTGTACCTAACAATACTGTAATGTACATTAACATTACAGCCTCTCAATTTCAGGCAGGTGTAACAGTTCCTTTCCACCAGATTTAATATTTTTATACTTCCTGCAGGTTCTTCTTAAAAAGTAATCTATATTTTTGAACTGATACTTGTTTTATACATAAATTTTTTTTAGATGTGATAAAGCTAAACTTGGCCAAAGTGTGTGCCTGAATTATTAGACCTTTTTATTAGTCAACCTACGAAGACTAAAATAGAATATATTAGTTTTCAAGGGAGTGGGAGGCTTCCAACATAGTATTGAATCTCAGGAAAAACTATTCTTTCATGTCTGATTCTGAGATTTCTAATTGTGTTGTGAAAATGATAAATGCAGCAAATCTAGCTTTCAGTATTCCTAATTTTTACCTAAGCTCATTGCTCCAGGCTTTGATTACCTAAAATAAGCTTGGATAAAATTGAACCAACTTCAAGAATGCAGCACTTCTTAATCTTTAGCTCTTTCTTGGGAGAAGCTAGACTTTATTCATTATATTGCTATGACAACTTCACTCTTTCATAATATATAGGATAAATTGTTTACATGATTGGACCCTCAGATTCTGTTAACCAAAATTGCAGAATGGGGGGCCAGGCCTGTGTGGTGGCTCACACCTGTGATCCCAGCACTTTGGGAGGCTGAGGTAGGAGGATCACGTGAGGTCGGGAGTTCAAGACCAGCCTGGCCATCATGGTGAAACCCTGTCTCTACTGAAAATACAAAAATTAGCCGGGCGTGGTGGCACACGCCTGTAGTCCCAGCTACTCAGGAGGCTGAGGCAGGAGAATCACTTGAATTCAGGAGGCGGAGGTTGCAGTGAGCCAAGATCATACCACTGCACTGCAGCCTGAGTGACACAGTAAGACTGTCTCCAAAAAAAAAAAATTTTTTTTTTTTTTTTTTTTTTTTTTTGCAGAATGTGTCAACAAAAAATACTTTCTTAATGGCATTTGTGTTTTAAGAAAAATCAGTCACATAGTGTCAGTGTTAAGAAAAGGTTGTAGGTTTACAGGTTGCCCCCAGTGGCCATACTTTGAATTGTGATTCTCACGGGTTTAAAGATGTGATTTTTAAAAAATCAGTGTTTTACCATCTAGTTATTTGATCTTGTCCACTTTTTTGTGTTCAACAAAAGTGTAAAACTGGAAAGCAAAGAAAAAAAGACTATTTTCAGTAAACATGTAGTTTTGTTTTGTCTTTATTGATAGAATGTAATGGGCCTTTGGGATCTTAAGTACTACTTATGTTACCTTTGTTATTCAGATGCTGAACTTAAGCAGTGAAATAATAGAAACTAAAGGATGTTATTAAGGGGTTTAACTATTTTAAGTCAACATTTAGCTTATCCATCATATTGGTTTCCTGAAGATGTCAGAATTTTTCAGTGTAAGACAAATATCAAAGGTAATAGATCCAGTTTAAAAGGTGAATCCACTGTATGTATTATATTGATACCATCATTTTCAGGATCTACATTAAGAGGATGGTGATACATAATTAGTAATCTCAGGGTTTTTTCCCCCATATCTAAAATGTAGACAATAGTTGTTTCTCTTTTAGTTCATCAGTTTCTCTTAGCAAAATAAATTAGGTTGGGCATTTAATGTTCTATTTACCATGGCTTAGCTTTGTTTCTGTTTTACAGTCATTTCCAGTAAGACTATAAAAGGGGCAGAAAAATACTGATGTATTGACTACGTGCTAGCAAGATTAACCGAAGGTTTATATTCAATTCCTTTAAATGTTACTTTCCTTTTAAGATAGCTTTCATGGTTCATGCATTTGATACTACACTTGATCTTGGCCAAAAGGCCAAGGAGTGATGGTTCATGCATTTGAATATTAAAGGACAATTTGACATTTCGCTAGCATAATGTGGATGAATACTTCAGAAATTTTTGAGCATTGTCACTCACCAGGTACGTAAACATACTATGGTAAGTACTGCCTAGAAATGCAAAGGAATTTTAGAATTCAGAGCTCATATTCATTGACCCAGTCTTTTATGCCTTTTATATGTATTCATGTGCTTCTAATGAACCTGTCAGGTTGGTGTAAGGTAACAAGCTTAGACTGTTAAGATAATGTCAACATGCCAAGATCACCCAGTGAACTTTTTAAAGTATTTAATCTTCGGCTTCAGGCAGACTTTTTAAAAAACTAGTTTATACTATTCAAACATTTAAGTCCTGGAACTCTTCTCCAAGATAAATGTGGCTGACTGCTGAGTGTCTTCTGTGATACATCTTGGCATTTTGAAACTTCATGTTTCGGCTGGACACGGTAGCTGACGCCTGTAATCCCAGCACTTTGGGAGGCCGAGGCGAGTGGATCACCAGAGGTCAGGAGTTCAAGACCAGTCTGACCAATATGGTGAAACCCTGTCTCTACTAAAAATACAAAAATTAGCCAGGTGTGGCACACACCTGTAATCCCAGCTACTTGGGAGGCTGAGGCAGGAAAATCACTTGAACCCTGGAGGCTGAGGTTGCAGTGAGCTGAGATAGGGCCACTGCATTCCAGCCTGAGTGACAGAGCGAGACTCCATCTTGAAAAGTAAAAAACAAAAACTTCATGTTTCCTCTTGTGGTTTATGATTCTTGACGTAAAAACCAAGTAGCTGCTACAATTAACCCTGCTCATGTTTATACTTTTTTGGAGAGACATCAGAGCATAGCAGTTAAGATCATGGTCTCTGAAGCCAAACTGCCTGTGTTTGAATTCTGCCTGTGCCTCATAGCTATGTGAACTAACCTCTGTGCCTTTGTCTCATTTGTACATGGGGATTAGAAATGTATCTACCTCAAAGGGTGGTTGTGAAAATTAAAGGAGTTCATATAGTCTGTAAAAAACTTAAGAGCATCATCAGAGTAAGCACCAAATATAATTTCTGGTAATCACTATCGGTTTCTTGATCACATCTGTTGTAGTTGTCTTAGCCCAATTCATTCAGCCAGCATTTATAATGCCAGACTCACATATAAAACAAACGTAACAGTATGTAATATTAATGTGATTATAAAATAACAGGAATATATTCAGAGGAATGTTTACAGGCATTTTTTGAACAACCACTTTCGATCATAAGGTACACTGTTAAAACTAAGTTTTAGTTAACAGTGAATATATACAAATGTGTATAGTTATGTGTATACTAACTCTGAGTCTTGTTACCCTGGTTAGTCTGGTGGATCCAATACTTTTTGGTCGGATTGCCATGCAGCATCATGATAATGCATATCAAGTGTTAGTTTAACTGATCTGCAAATTGTTTTAAGTGGTGTCTCTGCTTTTGCTTCCATAATCTATGAAATGTCACAATAACTAAGTGTTCCTGAATATCTGTTAAAACTTGTTAAAAATCCTCATACATAACACAAAAGCCTAACACATTGATGGACTTCAAGAATGTTGAATGACTCACAGAATAACACATATACTTTAGTTTTTTTTAATTTATTTTTCTTGAGATGGGGTCTTGCTTTGTTGCCCAGGCTGGGCACAATCAGCTCACTGCAGTTTCAACCTCCTGGGCTCAATCCATCCTGCCACCTAAGCCTTCCAAGTAGCGAGGACTACAGGTGCACACCACCATGTCTGGCTAACATTTTGTGGAGACAGGGTCTCCCTGTGTGTTGCCCAGGCTGGACTCAAAACCCTGAGCTCAAGCGAGCCTCCCAAAGTACTGGGATTGCAGGCAGGAGTTACTGTGCCTGGCCACCATTTAATTCTTGAGCATTTTCTTTTATATTCTAATTGTCCGCTTCTAATTTGGCCACCGTATTCACATCAAGGTTAAGTGACTTAACATCTTTGGGGATAAATAAGGTGCTGATTTTGTCTATAGCCATCAGTTTATCATACTAGATCCAAGTTTGTCAATTTAAATCAGGTGTGTTTATGAGCAAAGATATGATCATGCTGAATGTTCCATGTGTACTTCAGGAGATACATTCTGCTAGTTTGGGGTGGTGTGTTCTATAAATGTCAATTTAATCCAGTCGGCTTATGATTTTCAGTTCTATATTCTTACTGATTAATGTGTATATACTAGTTCTGTTACTAAGGAGGGATGTTAAATTAATCCCTAGCTGTAATTGTGCATTAGTTTGTCTCTTTTCAGCTGTTCTAGCTTCATAAATTTTTGGAGCTGTTAGGTGCATATACGTTTAGGATTATTTTGTCTTCTTGGTGAACTAGACCTTTTATCATTAGGAAACTGTCCATATAACCACTCCATTTTTAATTGTTTACATGGTTTTTCCATCCTTTTAACCTATCAATCACTTGAATTGACTTTCTTTATAGACAGCAGATCACTGGGTTATGTTGGT
Source organism: Homo sapiens (assembly GCF_000001405.40). NCBI lineage: Eukaryota > Metazoa > Chordata > Mammalia > Primates > Hominidae > Homo > Homo sapiens. The sequence continues at coordinate 14,907,765 of NC_000010.11, forward strand.
TTTTTCCGTGTCTCTTGTCATTGATGCACTTAGACCATTTACATTTAATGTAATCATTGATACGTATGGGTTTAGTTCTACCATTTTTTTTTCTTTTTTTTTTTTTTTTTTTTTGAGACAGAGTTTTGCTCTTGTTGCCCAGGCTGGAGTGCAATGACACAATCTCAGCTCACTGCAACCACCACCTCCCAGGTTCAAGTGATTCTCCTGCCTTGGCCTCCTGCGTAGCTGGGATTACAGGCATGAGCCACCGTGCCTGGCCTTTTTCTTTTTTAAACAGGGTCTTGCTCTGTCACCCAGACTAGAGGTGCAGTGGCACAGTCATGGCTCACTGCAGCCTCAATCTCCTGGGCTCAAGTGATCCTCAAGGGCCTCCAGAGTAGCCCACCACCATGCCTGGCTTTTTTTTTTTTTTTTTTTTTTGTAAGTAGAGACACATTTCACTGTGTTGGCCAGGCTGGTGTCGAACTCCTGGGCTCAAGCCATTGCCCACCTCAAAGTGCTGGGATTACAAGTGTGAGCCACCACACCCAACCAGGTTATTTGAACATTTTTAAGTACTGTATTTTCTCTATTGTAATATTGACTGTCATCTCTGTGCAGGTTTTTTAGTGGTTGCTCTAGGTTGAAACGCTTTGAATTCTTAGGTATCTAAGAGTGAGCATTTTCTTTTTTTGACTGCTATACTCTCACCAGTTGCCAGCTTCTCATATAAATATTGTAAATGCTCTCGTTTAGGTAACTCAGCTTCTGGAGTTGAGGGAACTTCAAAATCAGAAGAGCTCTGGGAATCTGCATTTGTGCTAAGATTTAGCAAACTTTTTTCCTCGGGTATATGTGTCTCACTGCTTAGAGTAGTTGGTTCTCCAGTACTAGGAACTATTGTCACATCTTTATCTCTGCTTTTCAAATCAGAGTAAGTATCCTTTGGGCAAATTACATTTTGTTCCATGAGAGAGGCAGGAATATTCTCTTTGATTGTTGGTCTGTAGTCAGCTTTGTCCAAGGAAGTAATATCCCCACTGTTTCTCTCTTGGGAAGATAACAAAACAGTATCAGATTGGCTGTCCCAGCCTTGACTTCCTTGTTCTGTTATGTGTGTTGACTGGGAAGAATTCTGGGAGGAGATGTGAGTTGATTCTCCATCAGAGTCACTGAAAAGCTTTGGTGACTGAGATCCCCCTGCCACTGTGGAGGAAGGGAAGTTTTCCAAACTCTCATCTGTGATTTCATCATTTCTTTTAAAGAATACTTCCCACTGGGGTACATCCCCATCAGCCTTTTGCAGGTGAAGTACAGAGCCCAGATCTCCTTGCAGTGAAGCTGGGATTCCTACTTCTTCTTCACTTTCACTGTTGGATTCTTCACAATCTACAAAGTTTGTGAAACGAGAGCTCTGCATACACTCTGCTCTGCAGCATCCTGGGGTTTGTCTCAGTTTTTCAGGCTGCTTTTCTGATACTGCAGTCATTGAAAATACCTCAGGGTGAAAAGTTTCCGGGTATGGAACTTTGTGCCTTAAAGGTATTGGCAGAGGATCATCAAAGAGATAGTCATCTTCCTCCTCTGTGGGACAAACAAAACAGGTTTATAGGAAACAAGGCAAAGGGAGCCAATTTGTAGTATTTATCTGTACTTTTAATTCTTGGAATTGCAAAGAATAGGGAGGCCACTCTTCTTCAAAGGGAAAAGATATTCTTGGGATATGCTGAACAATTTAACTGCCATCCTTCAACTTTTTATAATAAATGCCAGAGTATCAGTGGAGAATATAGAGCAGTCACTCTGCTCTATATGTAAGCCTGGCTGATCATTACGATCATATGCAAAACTTCAAAAAAAGAAAAAAAAAAAAAACAGGTTTCTGTATCTCATTCCAGACCTACTGAATCCCTGAGGAAGATAGGACCAAATAATTTGATTTTTAAGTTCTACAGCTGATATCTGTTCAGCCAGGTTTGCAAAGCCTGTGTGCTCTGCAAATAGTAGATGCTCAGTGGGTTGGCTGACTTAGGAAAATTAAATTGCTTTTTATTAAGGTTTTTCTTCTGTGAGCATCTTATTGACATGTTTTATGCACAAGGTTGCAACAGGTTAAATCAACTTTAAAGCAAAATACTGAATAATCAACGTGTCAAGAACTTAAAATTCAAAACATTAATAAGCATGCTGTGTCAACAAATGTTCTTAAAATGAAAAAAGCCTTACTTAGAAAAACAAATATTTTCCCATCTTGTAACAGTATCTAACCTAGGAAGAAAGTTAAATGCACCCAAGACTACTGTGTATGGCAACTTCTTGTTCTACTGCTGAATCTGGTGTTATAATAATCCACTTAAATGATGTGGCTAAACACTGCATTTTTAAGACACTAATATAAAGGACCATAGAGACCATTATCCAGCTCCCATGTTCCCCGTGTGAAGCTAGGCCCAGAGAAAAGGGTGTGCCAATACACACGACCCAACCTCATTCTTAAAGGTTCAGTGTTATGACTTGTAACTGAACTTAGGGCTTAAGGTCACTAAGATATCTAACGACTGTATTTGGAATCATCCTAGACTGCAGAATGTAGATTTTAAGCCAAAGATCATATGTATGTTTTAGGTCCCTCACTACTATGCCAAAGTTGTTTTTTGAGTTTTATACAGTCACAGTTCAGCCTCTACCTCTCAGGCTCAGGAGATCCACCCCCATGCCCAGCTAATTTTTTTTAGACAGTGTTTCCCCTTGTTGCCCAGGTTGGTTTTGAACTCCTGCACTCAGGCAATCCACCCCCTCGGCCTCCCAAATTGCTGGAATTAGAGGCATGAGCCACTTTGCCTAGCCCAAAATTACCTTTTTATGAAATATTTTTGTATGATCTCTAAGTTGAACAGTTCTGCATTCCAAATCAGTGACTATGCCTGATCCCAAAAGACATTTATCAAAAAGGAGTGTGGATTGGGTAGATGCATAAAAGGCACAAAAGATTAAAGGAAGAAAGGACTTTTGCTTCCAGGTAAGATGGAGTAACGGACTAGATTTAACCTCCCACTTGAAATAACGAAAAATCAGAAACTATCTCTCAAGAAAATGGACATCGAGCAATTAAGGACAATGACATGAGAAATAAGACACAGATGAGTCCTATGATTGCCTGACTCCCTGCTTCATAACAGATTCCAGTCAGGGAGGGAACATCTGGATAGAGCCCATGGACATCCTTGATGTGAGGTGGAAGTGGAACATTGAAGAAATAAATGTACCTGGAGTTTACAGAGCAGAAGACCAGAGAGGAGAGTGCTGCACAGAAACTCTGAAAAGCTGCAGAGGCGTCCCCACCACGTGTTCAGTGCACTAAGCAGCATGTGCTTGTAAGGAAACTACCTGCAGCCAGGCAACGAATCACTCAAACAAAAGGAAAGAAAGTGCCCAGAACTCACCGTGCCAGGAACAGTGTCTTGTCCTGGTCCCAACAGCCAGAGTGGAAAACCTCATGATCCATGGGCATTTGTAAAAGAACCAAGAAGAGCCTTGCCTCAGTAGTGGGGAAAATTAACCATATACTAAATGCTACTCTGTTCCTGCATAACAAAGGTAAAAGACACGAAAAGATCAAACTATAAACATGCTAACCACATGCCAGAACAAAGCTCAAGAATGTTTTTAGAAATCCCAAAATTATGCAGGACCTAAAAAGGTAAAATTCAGAATGTATGGCATTCAAAAACAAATTATCAGAAATTCAAGAAGCAGGAAGATACAGTCAAAACTGACTGTAAAATTATGTAACATGGGAGTCAATTTTCATGATCTTGGATCAAATAGTTTCTTAGATATGACACCAAAGCATATGCAATAAAAGAAAAAAATAGACAAATTTAACTTAAAACCTTTACGCTTCAAGACACCATCAAGAAGGTGAAAAGACAAGTCTGAGAAAATATTTCCTAATCATGTCAGATAAAGGACTGATACCAGACTTTAACTCTTACAACTCAATACAAAGGTCAATAATCCAGTTGAAATGGGGGCAAAAGATCAGAATAGACATTTCACTGAAGAAGTTACATAAATGGCCAATAAGCACATGAAAGAAAGCTCAACATTAGTCATTAGAGAAATGCAAATCAAAACTGCAGGGTACCACCATACACTAGGATGGCTATACTAAAAAAGACGGAAGTGTTGGCTAATATGTGAAGGAACTGGAATCTTTACATATTGCCGGAGAGAATGTAAAATGTATTCAGTGTGGGAATGTTTGGCAGTTCCTTGGAGTGTTAAAACAGATTGACCATATGTTATGAACTGAACGCTTCCTGTCAAAATTCATATGTGGAAGCCCTAAAGCCAGTGTGGCTGTTATCTAGAGATGGACCTCTAGGGAAATAATTAAACCATCATAAGGCTGGAGACTTGATCTGCCTAAGTGCTAGAATTACAGGCTTGAGCCACTGTGCCCAGCCTAATTTTTACTTTTTTTTTAAGCAGAGACAAGTTTTCACCATGTTGGCCAGGTTGGTCTTGAACTCCTGATCTCAGGTGATCCATCCGCCTCGGCCTCCCAAAGTGCTGGGATTATAGGCGTGAGCCACTATGCCTGGCCTCCTGTTTAAGCTACCTAGTATGTGTTATTTTCTTAGGGCAGCCCAAGCCAACTATATGACTCCAAAATTCTACCCCCCACAAGAAATAAAACCCAACAGAAAGATACGTAAAGACTTGTACTCAAATTTTCATAGCATTATTATTTAAAAAGGAGAAGCAACCCAGATGTCCATCAGCTGGTGAGTGGATAAATAAAATGTTGTATGCCTGTACAATTGAATATTGGTTGGCAATAAAAAGGTATGAAATACTGATATATGCCACAGTATAGATGTACCTTGAAAAGATAATGCGAAATAAAAGCCAGGCACAAAATAGCACATGGTGTATAATTTCTTTTTTTTCTTTTTGAGACAGAGTCTCGCTCTGTCGCCCACACTGGAGTGCAGTGGTGTGATCTCACTGCAAGCTCTGCCTCCTGGGTTCACGCCATTCTGCCTCCGCTGCCCTAATAGCTGGGACTACAGGTGCCCGCCACCACACCTGGCTAATTTTTTGTGTTTTTAGTAGAGACGGGGTTTCACCGTGTTAGCCAGGATGGTCTCGATCTCTCTGACCACATGATCCACCCGCCTTGGCCTCCCAAAGTGCTGGGATTACAGGCGTGAGCCACTGTGCCTGGCCAATAGCTGGGACTACAGGCGCCCGCCACCACACCTGGCTAATTTTTTGTGTTTTTAGTAGAGACGGGGTTTCACCGTGTTAGCCAGGATGGTCTCGATCTCTCTGACCTCATGATCCACCTGCCTTGGCCTCCCAAAGTGCTGGGATTACAGGCGCGAGCCACTGTGCCTGGCCATATGAGTTCTCTTATATGAAGTGTCCAGAAAACACAAATCTATAGAGACAAACCATAGATTAGTTGCGGCCTAAGGCCGGGAATAGTAATGGGGAGTGACTGGAAATAGACATAAAGTTTCTTTTTTGGGTAACAAAAAATGTTCCAAAATTAGATAGTGGGGATGATTGTACAATTCTGTTATACTAACAGTCGTGGAATTGTTCACCTATAATGGATGAATTTATGGTGTATCAATTATACTTCAATAAAGCTTAAAAAATAATTTTGTATTGTGGAGTTTATAAAGTTAATAACAGAGAATGTATGACAATAACAGCACAGACTGGGAGAAGAGGAATGGAAATATACTGCTGGAACATTCCTATACCATATTTGGAGTAATATATCATTTATCTTTTCACTCTGATATGTTAAAGATGTATACGGTCAGTCCTCTGTATCCACAGGTTCCACATCTGTAGATTTGACTGACCACAGATCAAACATATTTGGAAAAAAGCAAAAATTAAAATACAAAAAACACAAAAATTGATACAGTATAACAACTAGTTACCAAGCATTTACACTGTATTAGGTATAAGTAATCCAGAGATGATTTTAAGTATATGGGAGGATATGTGTAGGTTATATGCAAATGTAACACCATTTAATATGACTTGAGCATCTGCAGATTTTGGTACTCTTGGGGGGGTCCTGGAACCAATCCCCCAAGGATACTAAGGGATGACTGCATTATAAGCCACTAAAATAAGAAATCAGTGAGTTACACAGCCAATAACCCAACAAGAGATTAAACAGAATCAGTCAGTAATTACTTGACCTGAAAGAAGGCCAAAAAAGAATAAAGAACAAATGGAACAAATAGCAAGAGGATAAACTTAAACCTGACCATATCAATGGGTACCATTAAACTAAGTGGACTAAGCACTGCAATTAAAAGCCAGAAAATACCAGGTTGGCCATAAAAACATCCAACAACATACTGCTTACAAGAAACCCACTTTAAATATAAAGACTAGTTAAAAATACAGAGATGGAAAAAGATACATCAAGCCAATATTAATGAGAAGAAATTCAAATGGCTCTAGTAGATTGTAGAACTAAGAATGTTACCAGGGGATAGACTCATTTCCTAAAGATAAAGGTATCAATCCCTCAAGAGGATATAAGAATCTTAAACTTGTGTATACCTATTAATAGTGCCTCAAATAGATGAAGCAAATGCCAATAGAACTAATCAAGGCAAAATAGGCAAGTCCACAATTACAACTGGAGATTGCAACACCCCTCTCTGGCAATAATTGATAGAACAAGAATGTAGAAGACCTGAACAACATTGTCAACTAACTTAGCCTAGTTGACATTTATAGAACACTTCATCCAACAACAGTAGTACATATATTTCTTTGAAGTACACATTAAACATTTACCAGGTTTAATGTGTAAATTGGTCCACAATTGATGGTCCGTAAATATTCTGGACCATAAATTTCAAAAGTACCAGGCCAGGTGTGGTGGCTCACGCCTGTAATCCCAACATTTTGGGAGGCAGGTGGATCACCTGAGGTCAGGAGTTTGAGACCAGCCTGGCCAACATGGCAAAACCCTGTGGCTACTAAAAATACAAAACATTAGCCAGGTATGGTGGCGTGAGCCTGTAATTCCAGCTACTTCGGATGCTGACACAGGAGAATCACTTGAACCTGGGAGGCAGAGGTTGCAATGAGCCAAGATTGTGTGACTGCACTCCAGCCTGGGGAACAGAGAGAATCCATCTCATTAAAAAAAAAAAAAATCATACAAAGTATGTTCTCTAACCACAATAACATTAATTTAGATAACAGAATAATCCCTGGGAAGTCCTCCAAAATTCAGAAACTAGTAACAAATTTCTAAATAACCCATGTGTCAAAGAAAAAAAGTCAAAGGAAAAATTTAAAAATGTTTTGAATGACAATGAAAACAAGACAAATTTATGGGATGCTGCTAAAGAGGGAAAATTATAGCACTAAATGCCTACATTAGAAAATAAGGTCTCAAATCAACGACCTCAGCTTCCATATTAAGAAACTTAAAAATGAAAAGCAAATAAAATTCCAAGTAAGCAGATAAAGATCAGAGTGGAATTCAATGAAATAGAAAACTACCCCGTGCCAAAAAAACAAAAAAGAGAGAAAATGAAAATAAAACCAAAAACTTCTTATTTGAGAAGATCAGTAAAACTGGTAAACCTCTAGCTAGACTAATCAAGAAAAAAATGAGAGAAGACACAAACTACTAATATCAGGAGCAAGAGGATTAATATCAGTAGATTCTACAGATAGTAAAATAATAAACATTAAGAACAAGTTTATGCCAAAAAATTAAGCAACATGGATAAGACAAATTCTTTGACAGATTCAAGTTACCAAAGTTAACTCAATAAAAAAAAAAATAACCTGAATAGTCCTGTGCCTATTAGAGAAATCACATTTGTAGTTAAAAAAAAAAAACCTTCCCACAAAGAAAACTCCTTTCCCACCCAGATGGCTTCACTGGTAAATTCTACCAGTCATTTAAGAAAGATATAATGCCAATCCTCGAAAAATTTTTCCAGAGACTGAGAATAAACACCTCACAACAATGAGGCCAGCAGTATCCTGATACCAAAACCACACAATTACAAGGAAAAGACAAAACTCCAGATCAATATCCCTTCTGAAAGTAAATGAGAAAATTCTTACCATAATACTTAAAAAGGATAATATGCCATGACTAAGTGGGATTAGAGAAATGCAAGTTTGGTTTAACACTCAAAAATCAGTGTATGTCACCATATTAACAGAGTATAAAGAAAAACAATATGATCATCTCAACAAATACAGAAAAAGCGTTAGACAAAACCCATTATCCATTGTTGATATCTCTCCACCTACCAAGAACAGAAGGGAAGTAATTCTGCCTGACACAAAGCCTATACTTATCATTATACTTAATGGTGAAATAATGAACTTAATGGTGAAACAATGAATGCTTTCTCCTTGAGATTGGGAACAAGGCAGTGACACCCACTCTTGCCACTTGTTTCACACTGTAGTGGTAGTCTAGACAAGAAAGAGAAAAACATCCTGGCTGAAAAGGAAGAAGCAAAACTGTCTATATACACAAACAATGATGATCTTATATAGAAACCGCAATGGAATCTACAAGAAAAGGCACTAGAACTGATACTTGAGATTAGCAAGGTTGCAGGATACAAGATCAAAAATCAATTGCACAGGTTGCATTGCATATCCCTAATCCAAAAGTCTGACATCTGAACTACAAAGGAAATCCTTATTGCAGCATTTTAGATTTTCTGATTAAAGAGGTTCAACCATTAAATGCAAATGCAAATGTTCCAAAATTCAAAGAAGTCCAAAATCCAAAACACTTCTGCTCCCAAGCATTTTGAATAAGGGACACTCAGCCTATATTTCTATATACTAACAACAATCAGGAATTGAAACTTAAAAAGTAATACCATGTGCAACAGTATCCCCCAAAATGAAATACTTAGGGATTGATTTACACAGACTTATACGCTGGAAATCATAAAACACTGCTGAGAGAAATTAGAGCAGACTTAAGTAAACTGAGAGGTATACCATGTTCATGGATCTGAAAATTCAGTATTGTTAAGATGCCAGTTCTTGCCAAATTGATCAACAGATTTAAAACAATCCTCATCAAAACCTCAGGAGAGGACATTTTTGTACAAATTGGCGTATGATTCTAAAATTCATATGGAAATGCAGAGGACCTAGGATAACCAAAACAACTTTGAAAATGAACAAGGCTGGAGAACTTAAAGCACCTGACTTCAAGATTTACAAAGCTACAGTAATCGAGATGGGTGATATTGGTGTCAAGATAGAGATTATGAAACATAAGAAAGAATCCAGAAAATAATCTCCACATATCTTGTAAATTGACTCTCAAGAAAAGTGCTAAAGCAATTCAGTGAATTAAGATAGTGTTTCCAACAAATGGTTTAAGAACATTTGGATATCCATACAGACACACACACAAAATTACCTGGGATCTACATTTGAACCATATTTTTAAAAACAAAAATGAATCACAGATCTAAATGTAAAACCTAAAATTGTAACAACTTCTGGCAGAAAACAGGAGAAAATATTTATGCCTTTGGGTCAAAGATTTCTTAGATATGATACAAAAAAAAGTAAAAATTGATAAGTTCACTTAAAATTTAAAATTTCTGCTCTTCAAAATACTCTGCTAAAAAGATTGAAAAGATTACCTACAGAGTAGAAGAAAATCTTTGTATACACCTGATATATTTAAAAAAAAAAAACAAAAAAAACTTGTATCCAGAAACTTAGGAAAACTTAGTAATATGATGGGTGCAGTGGCTCATGCATGTAATTCCAGCACTTTAGGAGGCCAAGGCAGGCAGATTGCTTGAGCTCAGGAGTCCGAGACCAGCTTGGGCAACATGGTGAAACTCCATGTCTACAAAAAATATAAAAATTAGCCAGGCATGGTGGCATGTGCCTGTACTACTTGGGAGGCTGAAGTGGGAGGATCACTTGAGCTTGGGAGGTTGAGGTTGCAGTGAGCTGTGATTGTGCCACTGTACTCCAGTCTGGGTGACAGCAAGACTCTGTCTCAAAACAAAACAAACCCAACAATTTAAAAATGAGTAAAGATTTGAATAGACACTTCACCAATGAAGATACATGGATGGCAAATACGCACATTAAAAGATGCACAACCTTGCTAGTCATTAGAGAAATGCAAATTAAAACCACAAAGAGCTATCACTGCACACCTATTAGGATATTTAAAATTAAAAAGTCTAACCATACCAAGTATTGGCAACGATGTGGAGCAACTGAACTCTCATACACTTCTCCTGGGAACACAAAATGGTCAAACCACTTTGGAAAACATTTTGGCAGTTTCTTAAAGATACAGCTACCATATGACCCATTCTTAGGTGTGAAAGCCTACGTCCATACAAAAGTTTGTACATGAATGTTCATGGCAGCTTTCTTTTTAATAAGAAAGACACTGGAAACAACCCAAAAATACATCAACAGGTGAATGGATCAGCAACTTGTAGTATATCCCTGAGGTGGCCTACTCCTTATCAATAAAAGAGGGTGAACTATTGATACATGCAACAACATGAATGAATCTCTGATGCACTGAGTAAAATAACCCAGACGTACTATATGATTCTATTTATATGAAATTCTAGAACATGCAAACTATAGTGACAGAAGGCAGATCAGTGGATGCCTTGGCATGGGTGAGAACCGGAGGGAATTACAAAGGGGCATAAGAAAACTTGAAGGTGATAATTTCAGTATCTTAATTGTAGTCATGGTTTCTCAAGTATATGCATATACAAAAAATTTATCAAATTGTACACCTTACATGTGCAGTTTATATCAATTATACCTCAGGAAAGCTGTTTTTTAAAAAAAAAAAAAAAGAAAAAAACCTTAGTAAATTTGTAAGGATTAGAGGATGCATTACATAATAGAGTTAACATCTGAAATTAATGGAACTGTTTTTCTAAAACCTTTTAATTATTGAAACAAAAACAAATGTGGTTTTTTTTGGGCACCAGTTATAGGCTTACTATATCAGTCTTGGAATTGTCATCTAAATGTTTTAAAATTAGATTCTCCATGAGCAGAAATGCAGAAGCAGAGATGAGACAGGCCTAGATTAGAATCCCAGGCCCATCACTTACTTCTTGCTAGTCCTTAGGGACTTAAGTCTCTAAACTTCAGTTTCCTCATCATTATAATTGGGATGGTACCCCTTGTAAGTTTGTTTAGAGGCTTATCTATAACATATGTAAGGGACCTAGCACAATACCTGCCATTAATAGGTGTTCAAAAAATAGTATCATCATTATCTCGTGTGTTTTGGTCAAGTATTTACTGCATGGCAGAGTAACTGACTTTCCACCAAAGGAATGAAAATCAAGAATCCTAACCACGAAATAGGGCTGCTGGAAAGCCCCAGAGCTTTGCTCAGAATCTAACGTTCTGATTACTACTGCAGAGCTTGCCTCTGTCCTTCACTAGAAAAATCAAAGTAGCAATGAAAGAAGGTACAAAGTATAGAGAAAAATCCTTCTGTATAAACACTACTGATCAACTTGATCAGAAATGATGATGAGAAAAGTCTATTATCAGCATTTACTAGTATCTTAAGAAAATGTTCAAGGATAACAAACCAGCCTCTCTATGTCCTAAGAAAATGTTCAAGGATAACAAACCAGCCTCTCTTTATGGCCTCTACTGATCTTAGGGTGTATTTCCAGAAAGCTGAGAACACCACACACGATGGCACCGTTTTCACCACTTGTTTTAACCCAGAGAAGGAGAGCAGACTCCTGATTTTACAGGCTGAAGACAGGAAGGCAAAGTACTTCCTGAGACCATGTGTCAAGTCTGACCTGTGGTGGGTCCCAGGTCCACTCTGCCCAAGGCCACTTCTCCCAGACCCAAGCTCCCTGGAAAGCAGTGTTTGCAGGGAGCCCACCCCTCTGAACCCAGGACCATTTTTCTTACCTGAGTCTCGGTGAACTGTTCTAGCTCTCTTCAGTTTTCCCAGTGGTTTATACTTTGGCTCCGTACTTTGGGAAGACCGGCATAAAGGCTTTAAGCTGAAATGAATCAGAATATTTGATTTTTCCTTTTGAGGAAGTTGTTAGAAGGTAGACATCATTGATAGTATTACAAATTTTTTTGATTTTGTTTTTTAATTTCTTGGATCCCTGTTTTTAACAAAATCTTGACCATAAGGGAAATCACACAACTACTTTGGAGGATTGAAAAGCAGTTCTAAACTGATTTCATAGTTAAAAATCACTTTGATGTAATAAAGTGGCAAATATAAGCAATTAAATGCAACCCGGTTGATGTTTATCTTATTGTTACATCAGTAGACTAAGGTAAAACTTAGATCTTTGCTCTTGGAATGCAAAAAAAGCAGGTCCCTATCCTGAAAACCTATGAATACAGTGACATCCTCTGGCATTCGGGATACAATATAACTAGCTGCTTCTCCTGCCCTGTTCAGTAGGGTTTACTTATATCTCACAGGAATCTCCACAAATTTATCTTGTCATTCTAGGTCCTTAGGCTGAAAGCTAAGACAAAGTGGAGATAAAATACAAAAAGGCAGAGAAATAAGATTTGAAGACGTCCTACCCCTTTCGAAGGCCTCACTGCCAACTGCCTCCTCCTGGCAGATTCCGGGAAGCCTTTAGGATGATCTACAACATACCATTTGAACAGGGCCATGAGGTGCCCAACCTGAAACTTCTTTACAGCCACCCCCATTTTACGTCCTCACCCCTGTTCCCACAGCTGTTCTCTGGATCCATCCCCTTCAACCTTTCCAGGAGTTCTGATCCATTACTGTGTCTCTTTACATCATTTCAGCTATTCTCCTGGGTTAACTTTTCAAAGTAAGGTTGTCTTCCCCCACCTACCTACAACAGAATTGTCTGCTAGAAATGAAGGATGGGGGCCGGGTGCGGTGGCTCATGCCTGGAATCCCAGCACTTTGGGAGGCCAAGGCAGGTGGATCATTTGAGGTCAGGAATTCAAGACCAGCCTGGCCAACATGGTAAGACCCCGTCTCTATTAAAAATACAAATATTAGCCAGGTGTGGTGGTGGGCGCCTGGAATCACAACTACTCACAAGGCTTGAGGCAGGAAAATCGCTTGAACCCAAGAGGTGGAGTTTGCAGTGAGCCGAGGTTGCACCACTGCACTCCAGCCTGGGTGACAGAGCCAGACTCTGTCTCAAAAAAAAAAAAGATGCAGGATAAGGAATGAATATGCATTTTAACAAGCACCTCGGCTGGGCACGGTGGCTCACACCTGTAATCCCAGCACTTGGGGAGGCCTAGGTGGGCAGATCACGAGAGGTCAAGAGATCAAGACCATCCTGGCTAACATGGTGAAACCCCGTCTCTACTAAAAATACAAAAAATTAGCCGGGCGTGGTCGCGGGCGCCTGTAGTCCCAGCTACTCGGGAGGCTGAGGCAGGAGAATGGTGTGAACCTGGGATGGGGAGCTTGTAGTGAGCCGAGATCGCGCCACTGCACTCCAACCTGGGTGACAGAGCGAGACTCCATCTCAAAAAAAGAAAAAAAAAACAAGCACCTGAAGTGATTCCTAAACACATCCAAGTTTATGTATATTCAAGTTTAGTTCTACAGGCATATTTAAGTCTCAGCTATTTTAAGATCAAGCCTCCTGATTCTGTTGCCTCCTGTTGCCATCTTGTCTCTAACTTTCCCTTCACTGTCAAACTTTTTATATAGTCTGTCCTCAGTATTTTCCATTTCCTCACTTTTTACCTATTTCTCGACTGAAATCTGGCTTGTAACTCACAAGTCTACTGAATTGCTCTCACTGAGCACACACAAATGACCTAATTACCAAGGAAACGGGACACCTGGTAGTCCCCATATTATTTGACTTCTCAAGACACTCCATGGGCACCCTCTGCTTACCCTTCCCTTTGCTCTCATCCCGCTGTCTGGGCCACTCTCTCCATCTTGGCCCAGCTTCTCCTCCTTCACTTCTACCTTGAATGTGCTGCCCAGGGTTCTGGCCTCAGCTCTATGATCCCTCCTCCCACTCCTGGTGACTTCTTCTTTTCTCATGGTTTTAGTTCTCACCTGCACTGCCAACTCCAATTCTGTGTCTCCAACCCAGACCTCTCTCCAGAGATTCTCCATCCTCCTTTCCATCGACATCTGCAAGCCTGGTCCTGTCTGTCCCCATCGGGGTCTGCGAAGCAGATTCCCTGACACGGGGCCTCATTCCTTCTGCACCCATTGAGCTTGTGTGCTGCCTTTGCACCCGGCCTCTCCGTGAGACTGGAGCTCTGCTAGGACAGGCTGTGTCTTAGGCAAATTGGAACCCAAGCTCCATTCCCACCATATGGCTGGCACTAAAGAAATCATTCATGGGCCGGGTGCAGTGGCTCATGCCTGTAATCCCAACACTTTGGGAGGCTGAGACAGGTGGATCACTTGAGCTCGGGAGTTCGAGACCATCCTGGTCAACATGGCAAAACCTTGTCTCTACTAAAAATACAAAAATTAGCCGGGCATGATGGCATGCACCTGTAGTCACAGCTACTCGGGAGGCTGAGGCAGGAGAATCGTTTGAACCCAGGAGGTGGAGGTTGCAGTGAGCCGAGATCATGCCACTGTACTCCAGCCTGGGTGACAGAGTGAGACCCTGTCTAAAAAAAAAAAAAAAATCATTCATGAATGCATAAATGAAACCCAAAGAAGAGGTAAGAAAATGGTAATACTGTAGTAAAAGACATCCATGAATACGATTGCACCTCTCCTTTGGCTTCAGTTATCCATTCAGTAGACACTTGACAACCTACTTGGCATGGTGCTAGGTGCTTTTCTTACACTATCTCCCTGTATCATCTCTTTCTTTTTTAAGAAGACCAACAAGTAGGCATCAATATTCCTATTTTGCTGATTCAGAATGACTAGCTCAGAGAAGTGATCTGGCCAAGCTCACACTGCACTGTTAGTAAGTGGCGGAGCTGGGTTGCAACCCAGGAGAAGCTGACAACACTACCTATACCTTCTGCCACACTGTGGAACTAAAGGAAACACTCCAGGAAAAAATGGAAATGAGTATCAGTTCAGAAATGTCCCAAAACAAACAGATTCTAGACTTGTAAACATTCAGGCAAACTCTCCTTTGTGTCCTAGCCAAGAGCCACCAAGGGGGACACCAAGTCCCACAACCAGTGACTACTCACATTTCGACAACTTTATCCATAGTTGTGCCAACTGGAATGACATTTGGATATGCGTTCACAGGACAGAGGTAGCTCAAGAAATCTTTAATCTAGAAAAAGGAAAATCACATGGATCAACAATCTCTACGATGAAACAGGTTGTTAGGGGAGATAAAGGGAGGCTGGGGAAAGAGAAGCAGAACTCTCTTATGGCTGTGGTTCTCAATGCTGGCTGCACGTGGGGATCACCAGGGACCTCTTGGGAAAAAAATATCCAATGCCTGGGCCTCACTCCCAAAGATCTCCTGAACACTGAGTACTAGTGGGCCTAGAAATCAGTACATTTAAATATTCCCCAGGTGATTCTGATCCACAGTAAGAGCTGAGAATCACCAATGGGACTCAAAGATTCTTTTTTTTTTCTCTTTTTTAATATATTGCTTTCCTTGTCCAAGAAGGTCAGTTGCTTATGTTTAACAAATCCCTTTTCAAATAAGTTAGAATTTAGCTGGGCATTAACTATAATATACACAAAAACCCAAGGTCTCAGAATTGCATTTCTTAGCTGGGCACAGTGGTACATGTCTGTGATCCCAGCTACTCAAGGCTGAGGCAGGAGGATTGCTTAAGCCCAGGGATTTGAGGCCAGCCTGGGCAACACAGAGACACCTCATCTCCAAAAAAGAACAACAAAAGAATTGCACTTATTTACTCCTACCAATAATCATTAACGATGCCAAGAGAATTACACCTTTGAGGTTACTTGATTTGTTCAAATGGTTCATTCTCATTGGGCAGAACACCATGCATTCGTCACTGATTCCAGGGAAGGATCCAAACACTGCCCATTGTACCTTGGTGTTGGAGTCACCAAGGAAAACACAATGCAGTCAAGCACTGGAGGGAGCAATGCTTCACTTACTGAGAAAAGACCAAGCAAGATCAAATCCAACAATGTGCACTGGTCTCCAGTGACCAGTGTGTCTCTCCCTGCAGCCAACACAGGGCAACCTGCCTACATGCAACCCTCTCCTGCCACACAGGAAGGAACCCCCATCATGCTGTCTGAAATAAGGACAGCTGGGGTGTGCCTAAGGGCCATTGACACACAGGCTTAAGTAGAACAAAGGGACACACATCAAGTACGAAGCAGAGAAAGATGTTTCCACACAAGGTACTGAGCTGCCGCAGGCTGTGTGCTCACGCTAACGGGAGTGCTTGCTCTCTCTCACTCGCGTGCGCTCTCTCTCAATAAGGAAGTGTCCCATTCTTATGTGGCCAGTGAGGGTTGAAAGACTGTGCACATAGACTGCCTCTCCCAATGATTAATTCTAAACAAACAATTACATGCAAAAACTTCATGAATACCTTGACTTTTTGCAAAGTTCAGAATGCTAAACAGAGGAACTCTGTCACTATTCCTCAAAACATCTCTACAACCTAGAGGAACTTCAGCTTTGTCTCTTATTAGACATTGGTGAGCTTGTGATCTCAGTCAAGTTACCTAATGTCTCTAATTTTAGATTCTTCATTTAAAAGTATAAATGAGATTATGCATGTGAAGTGCTTAGCTTGGTATCTGGTGAAACAGTCAATAAAATCATCCAGGCCAGGCGTGGTGGCTCACACCTGTAATTCCAGCACTTTGGGAGGCCGAGCCGGGTGGATCACAAGGTCAGGAGTTCGAGACCAACCTGGCTAACACGGTGAAACCCCGTCTCTACTAAAAATACAAAAAATTAGCTGGGTGTGGTCGTGGGCGCCGTAGTCCCAGCTACTCAAGAAGTTGAGGCAGGAGAATGGTGTGAACCCGGGAGGCGGAGGTTGCAGTGAGCCGAGATCACGCCACTGCACTCCAGCCTGGGCAATAAAGCGAGACTCCATCTCAAAAAAATAAATAAATAAAAATTAAAAAATTAAAAAAAAAATCATCCATTACTAAGTTGATAATGAGAACACAAAGACTTTTATGCCCTTCTGCAAATGGACAGACTAGAACCCAATGTAATTATTAGTATCCCACCAAACTGAAAGAGGCAGAAACCCAAGAATTGCCAATAACTCTACATAAAAATAAAAGGGCTACTTTAAGACAGTGGAAAGGCAGGAAGATCTATTCTTTAAATAGTTTTCACAAACAGTATCTTTTGTACCTTCACAGGAGGCATGCAAATAGAAATCATTACCTGCCCGCCCAACACCGATTTGATTTGCACAAAGCTGAGGCTGGTAGAAATCTGAGACTTTTGAAGGGAATAAAGGATTTAAAAAAAAAAAAAAAAAAAAAAAGTAAAGTCAAGCCTATACCAGAAATGGTTCACTACTACTTCTCAGAGATGAAATGGCCCCAAGGAGATAAGAGACACCCAATAAAGGAGCACCCCCTCTCATTTATATAAGTTGACTCCCTTTTATCAAATGCCTGCCTTAAAATAAGGCATCAATAGCGCCAATTCTCTTTATTCACAGTAGTTATACTCTATAAATTATAGTCACCATAAATGCTGAATTAGCAAATACTGAGCCATTGCTGCTAGGGAAAATACAGGGTTCCTGCCATCCTTTGGTGACATCGTTTTCACCAGCCAATTAATACATAACCTTGTTTTATGTGTGTTTCTGTTGAAAGACACCTTATTTAATAGACACTTTGATCCATTAACATTGAACTCATGGTCAATAGCCCTATAACCCATGCCTATCTAACATACATATTTTCTCTAGAAGCCACGTTACAGTCCTCCCGTGCTTAGGAACACTCGATAGGACTTCAGTATTATGACTGGTCACCATTTAAATAAGATCACCAACAAAAAGCACAAAAATATGAAAAACATGGCACTTAATAGATGGCAAAAAGGAAACTTTCGATATGGTTTGGCTGCGTCCCTACCCAAATTTCATCTTGAACTGTAGCTTCCATCATCCCCATGTGTCGGAGGGACCAGTGGGAGGCAATTTAATCACGGGGGTGGCTACCTCCATACTGTTCTAATGACAGTTCTCACGAGATCTGATGGTTTTATAAGGGGCTTTTCCCCACTTTCACTCTGCACTTCTTGCTGCCGCCATGTGAAGAAGGATGTGTTTGCTATGATTGTAAATTCCCTGAGGCCTCCCCAGCCCTGCGGAACTATGAGTCAATTAAACCTCTTTCCTTCCTCATACCCATCTCGGGCATGTCCTTAGAGCAGCAGGAGAACAGACTGATACACTTGTTGACAGAGTAAGAGCTGAAAGAAGGCAGAGCATTGCCTTGTTCTACCTGAGCCGAGAACGTGCACGTCAGGTGATTCAAAATTTTCACCACTCTCCACAAGTCCACAAAGGATCACAAAAGCACTGTAAATATTGATACTGAGGTCACAGGTCAGTTTCAGTGAGTAGGCCAACACATAAAAATAGAATCCATGAAGCCAGGTGCAGTGACTTACACGTGTAACCCAGCACTTTGGGAGGCCAAGGCAGACGGATTACCTGACGTCAGTTCAAAACCAGCCTGGCCAATGTGGTAAAACCCTGTCTCTGCTAAAAATACAAAAATTTTAGCTGGGCATGGTGGTGGGCACCTGTAGTCCCAGCTATTCGGGAGGCTGAGGCAGGAGAATCACCTGAACCCAGGAGGCAGAGGTTGCAGTGAGCCGAGAACACACCACTGTACCCCAACCTGGGCGACAGAGTAAAACACTGTCTCAACCAAAAAAAAAAAAAAAAAGGAATCCATGAATAATGAGGATGAACTGCATTTAGGAAAAAAAAACTAAAAGGAAATGAAACTTACATAGAAACAGAGATGCTTCTGAGAGTCAGGGGACTACCTGTCAACTACCAAGGCTGCAGAACACTGAGCGATAAGGGTTATGAGTATATGGGATCCTCTTACCTCACTGTAGGAGGAGTGAAAAGAAAAACAAGCTCTGTATGAACTCTCTCCAGTCCTAAAGGGAAGTGAAAACACAAAATAAAAAGATCACTGAGCAAAACTAAAACTAAGCAAAGCTGGCCCTTCTCATTTAGGCTATTCTAGCATGAAACCACTCTAATGGGCTCGCTTCAGCAGCAAGTGTCGAAATCACCCTAAATCAGGAATTTCTTCTTGGGATAGCAGGGAACCTTTTCCAGAAGTGGAAACCTGTTGTAGACCGCGTGTGGTGGCTCACGCCTATAATCCCAGCACTATGGGAGGCCGACGCGTACGGATTGCCTGAGCTCAGGAGTTCGAGACCAGCCTAGCAAACATAGTGAAACTCTGTCTCTACTGAAAACACAAAAAGTTAGCTCGGCATGGTGGTAGTACATGCCTGTAATCCCAGCTACTAGTGAGGCTGAGGCAGGAGAATCACTTGAACCGGGAGGCAGAGGCTGCAGTGAGCTGAGATCACACCACTTCACTCCAGCCTGAGTGACAGAGTGAGATTCTTTCTCCACACAAAAAAAAAAGAAGGGAGGGAGGGAGGGAGGGACCTCTTGCAGATATTCTGAACAGCCAAAGTTAAGGAAATGTTGCTAAAATATTAAGATCATTATAGTCACTCCTCTATTCCACCAAGGGTTCTGTTCTCTCTGACATCAGTTTTTCCTCTTAGCCAAGCACTCAGATGGGAGGGAGGGAGTGGGGGGGGAGAAAGGAGAGGGAGGGAAGAAGGGATGGAGGAGAGGGAGGGAGGGAGGGAGGGACCTGTTGCAGAAATTTTAAACAGCCAAAGTTAAGGAAATATTGCTAAAATATTGTGATCATGATAGTCACTCCTCTGCTCCACCAAGGGTTCTGTTCTGTATGACATCAATTTGTTACTCTAAGCCAAGCACTCAGATGCCTTCAGTCTCCAACCATCTCATCAACCTACCCAGAGGGAACCTCAGGATACACCAGCTGATGGGAGTGTAACTGGTTTGGGAGTAGCATCCCCTCCATTTAAATAAAATTTAAATTTAAGAAATTAATTATAATATATAATTATATTCTTGGGCTTAGGCTAGACTGTGCTTAAATGAAATTAAATCAGACAATTTACTCAAAGTTTCTCTCAGAAGACCTATGATATTGCTCTCTTACCTCACAATTACATTTGTTTTTCTGCTCCTTTCTCCAAACCACATGGTGGATGGCTTAATGCTGATTATGTGGAGTGGAATTCTATTTCTGGAAGTAATTCCACAGGGTAATTTGCTCCACTGAAAATATTCCTCTGCCTAAAAAAGATAAAAAGCATAGAAAAACAGTTCTACATTTTCTACAAATCTGTTGTAGGCAGAGTCTCAAAAACAAAAGTAGAAAAGTTTCCAGACACGAAAAAATAAAAAATAAAAAAAAAGCAGCAAAACAATGTAGACATGAAGAAACAATCAGATAATTCCAAATTGGGGAATATTGTGCAAAACAACTGGGCTGGACTCTTCAAAACCATCAATGTGAAGACAAGCAAAAGGCTAGACAAACGATCTATATATCAAAGGAGACCCTTTAGACCTGACTGAACGCAATGGACGACCCTCAAATAAATCCTGGATGCCCCTGTCCCCCTATTCTACAAGCTATAAAGGACACTATGGGAAGAACTGGGGACATCTGAACACGGACTGTGTAACAGCTAATAGTACTATATGAACACAAAATGTTCTGAGGAAGGGTATTGTACTGTGGTTATATAGGAAAATGTTCTTATTCTCAAGAGCCACAGGCTGAAGGATTTGGGGTGACGTACCATGGAGTCTGTAACTACTCTCAATTGGTTTGGAGTGGGGAGTTGGTTATAAGTACAGAGACAGAGGAAGAGAGGTGCAAAGTGTTGGCAACGCAGCAAATCCAAACGAAGGGTGTATGGTGTTTTTTTTTTTTTTTTTAGACAGTCTCGCTTTGTCACTCAGGCTGGAGTGTGGTGGTACCATCTCAACTCACTAAAACCTCTGCCTTCTGGGTTCAAGCAAGTCTCATGTGTCATCCTCCCAAGTAGCTGAAATTATAGGCACACACCACCACACCCAGCTAAATTTTCTATTTTTAGTTACAGGATTTCACCATGTTGGCTGGGCTGGTCTCGAACTCCTGACCTCAAGAGATCTGCCCACCTTGGCCTCCTAAACTGTTGGAATTACAGGCGAGAGCCACTGGGCCCAGACCCTTGTACCAGTCTTACAACTTTACTGTTTAAGAAGTTTTCAGGGCCGGTTGTGGTGGCTTATGCCTATAATCCCAGCACTCTGGGAGGCTGAGGCAGGTGGATCACTTGAGGTCAGGAGTCCAAGACCAGTCTGACCAACATGGTGAAACTCTGTCTCTACTAAAAATACAAAACTAGCCAGGCATGGTGGCGCATGCCTGTAATCCCAGCTACTTGGGAGGCTGAGGCGGGAGAATCGCTTGAACCCAGGAGGTGGAGATTGCAGTGAGCCCAGATTGCGCCACTGCACTCCAGCCTGGGCAACGGAGCGAAACTCTATCTCAAAAAACCATTTTTTTTTAATTAAAAAAAAAAAAAAGATCTCAGCCTGGGCAATATAGTGGGATTCCATCTCTACAAAAAAATGTAAAAATTAGCCAGGTGGGTGGTACACAACTGCAGTCCCAGCTATTCAGGAGGCCGAGGCAGGAAGATCACTTGAGCCTGGGGGGTCGAGGCTACAGTGAGCAATGATTGCACCACTGCACTCCAGCCTGGGTGACAGAGCAAGACTCTATAAAATAAATTCATTAATTCAAATTAAAAAGTTTTCAAAATAAATTTGGAGGGAAAAAAACTAACAAATACAAGTGTTTTCAAAAGGTTGAAAAAAAATGGGACAACTTTTCCAAAGTCATTATTTTGAAATCCAGAACCTTCCAAACCATTAACGTTCCATCCCACTCAAATTTCTTTGGGGTGCCTTTGGTGCTGTTTCTTAGGAAGGTGCAGATTAGAGTTAAGAGTGGACTCTATGAGCTGTGGACCTACCTGTTAATATTCTAAAGGAGTGCGTGACCTAAAAAAATCTTTTAAGCGGCTAGAAATAGCATCTCAAGGAAAGTAGCCCTGACAGCAAAGGAATTACTAACTAAGCTACTTTGTGGGATGTGAGAAAATTCACAGCAAAAAGAAATTTGCCAATTCAAGGATTTATGGGGCAAGGGGCCCAATACTATGAGTCCAACAGAAAAAGGGACAAAAAGGTGTATGTTTTATTTATTTACTTGAGACGGGGTTTCACTCTGTCACCCAGGCTGGAGTGCAGTGGTACAATCTTGGCTTACTGCAACCTCCACCTCCCAAACTCAAGCAATTCTCCCACCTCAGCTTCGTAAGTATCTGGGACTCCAGGCATGCACCACCACACTCAGCACCTTTTTTTTTTTTTTTTTTTTTTTTTTGTATTTTTTGTAGTGACGGGGTTTCACCACGTTACCCAGGCTGGTCTCGAACTCCTAGACTCAAGCGATCCACCTGCCTTGGCCTCCCAAAGTGCTGGGATTACAGATGTGAGCCACTAAGTTTATGGGTTTTGTTTGTTTTTTTTGAGGCAGAGTCTTGCTCTGTCACCCAGACTGGAGTGCAGTGGTGACATCTTGGCTCACTGCAACCTCCGCCTCCTAGGTTCAAGTGATTCTCATGCCTCAGCCTCCCTAGTAGCTAGGGCTACAGGCACACACCACCATGCCCAGCTAATTTTTTTATTTTTACTAGAGACGGGGTTTTGCCACACTGAGCAGACTGGTTTCGAACTGCTGACCTCAAGTGATCCACACGCCTCGGCCTCTTAAAGCACTAGCATTACAGGCATGAGCCACCACACCCGGCCGGTTTACGTTTTATGTATACATTTTTATCCATCCAAGAATCCACTGGACGTGTCTGTATATGTGAATATATATGTGTATTTATATGTGCATACATGCACACAAAGTGAAGAAATAAATCCCTGAATGCAACATAGAATATGCAGCTTACCAATCAGCAAAAATAATTTACACTGCAGCTCTCACCGTGGCCTACAGGAAAACATTCCATGCTGTGGATCAGAATTCTCTCTTGTTTGAAATTATGCTTTATCGTAAGGGCTAGGCAACTAGGCTTTTGGCTAATGGAACCATTATTACTACAATAATAGTGATCTAAATGAATAAATGCAATGTTTACTTTAAAAATTACACAGGATTTAATGCTAAGGTATTTTAAAATTTAGAGAAAAATAATGATCACTCAAACCACTACATTTAAAGATCACTAATTAGCCTTAATAATTTTAATTGAAACAATATTTTTTAAAGCAAATTCAAAATGAAAGTCTTGTACTCAGCGTTTGACAAGAGAAGGAGGTTCTGTGTTGGCATTAGAAAACGAATGAGGCTGGGTGTGGTGGCTCATGCCTGTAATCCCAGCACTTTGGGAGGCCAAGGTGTGTGGTCACGAGGTTAGGAGTTCGAGACCAGCCTGGCCAATATGGTGAAACCCTGTCTCTACTAAAAATACAAAAATTACCCAGGTGTGGTAGCGGGAGCCTGTAATCTCAGCTACTCGGGAGGCTGAGGCAAGAGAATCGCTTGAATGTGGGAGGCAGAGCTTGCAGTGAGCCGAGATGGCACCATTGCACTCCAGCCTGGGCCACAGAGTGAGACCATCTCAAACAAAAAAACAAAACAACAAAAAACAAAAGAAGACAAATGACATGTGACTTGCAAAGACACTGGAAACATCCATTAGAAATAGGACCATCAAGACATGAAACTATTTTAAAGTGTGAAAAAAAGTTATGTCTAGATATTTATCTCAAGTAGAAGAAAAAGTTTATAAACACGCTCATGTCATGAGTCTCAAAAAGCACAGGATGGGCGCAGTGGCTCATGCCTGTAATCCCAACACTTTGGAAGGCCAAGGAGAGCAGATCACTTGAGATCAGGAGTTCAAGACCCCCCTGGCCAACATGGCGAAACCCCATCTCTACTTACAAAAATTAGCCAAGCATGGTGGTGCATGCCTGTAATCCCAGCTACATAGGAGGCTGAGGCAGGAGAATCGCTTGAACTCAGGAGGCAGAGGTTGCAGTGAGCCAAGATGGCCCCACTGCACTCCAACCTGGGCAACAGAGCAAGGCTCGTCTCAAAAATAAATAAATAATAAATAAATCAATAAAATTACAAAAATTAGCCAGAAGTCATGGTGCATGTCGGTGGTCCCAGCTACATAGGAGGCTGAGGCAGGACAATCACTTGAACCTAGGAGATGGAGGCTGCAGTGAGCCAAGAGTGGGCCACTGCACTCCAGTCTGGGCAACAGAAGGAGAATGTCTCGAAATATATAAATACATATATAAATAGCACAAATGTTTAAGTTATAAGCTATAATATATTACTGATTTCATTACAAATAAATTTGAATTATCAAACGTGTATGAATAGATTTCATCAGAAAACTATAAAGATCTGGTTGGGGGTGGTGGCTCACGCCTGTAGTACCAGCACTTTGGGAGGCCGAGGGAGGCGGATCACGAGGTCAGGAGATTGAGACCATCCTGGCTAACATGGCTAACCTCGTCTGTAGTAAAAATAACAAAAAATTAGCCGTGCATGGTGGCGGGCGCCTGTAGTCCCAGCTACTCAGGAGGCTGAGGCAGGAGAACACGTGAACCCAGGGGGCGGAGCTTGCAGTGAGCCTAGATCGCACCACTGCACTCCAGCCTGGGCGACAGAGTGAGACTCCATCTCAAAAAAAAAAAGTACAGATCTGTGTCTATTTACTAGTGACGAAAAGTGTGGTCATGGAATATGGCAATGTACAGTTCCATGACCTTGAGCTAACAACTTAGGATTGCAGCCTCAGGTTTTACATTTGTAAAGCGAAGAGCCTATAAATGGAAGCCCTGACCTTTCTTCTTTTTCATAGATTACACAAACAATACGAGAGGAATCACTTGCACACGTACCTTGGGATGCCGGCATGCATGGATCTGAGTGTTGCGGTCTGTTGTGAGATGATGAAGGATCTCAGGCATGTTCCTAAACATGTCTAGCTTATTCACATGAACCTAAGGCAAATAATACATACATGCAAATTATGTGAAATGTATTTCCTATAAATTGTTCAAGGTTAATTACTCAGGGCAAAACACCCAGTTAGTGAATTAACCCTCTCTTCTTTCTTGAAAAGTAGTTTTTGGCTATTCAGTGCACTCTGGTATTCCGCCAGCATGTCAACAGGCACAAGGCTGACTGGCCAGGATCGCTGCCATCACTGACGTCAGTGAACAATTATGGACACTCGGCTCAGGGATGTCATTTAATGATGTTAATGTTGTCCTTCAGTCCTTCAAGAGAAATTCAGTTAATATTCCTCGTACACCTACTATGTGTCGAGCTTTATTCTAAATGCTGGGAATAAAGCAGTAATCCACACAGACAAAAACAATCAAGAATCATCTACCCTCAGCCAGGTGCTGTGGCTTATGCCTGTATTCCCAGCACTTTGAGAGGCGGAGGCCGGTGGATCACTTGAGGTCAGGAGATCGAGACCAGCCTGGCCAACATGGTGAAGCCCCATCTCTACTAAAAATACAAAAATTAGCCAGGTATGGTGGCTCAGGCCTGTAATCCAAGCTACTCGGGAGTCTGAGGCAAGAGAATCACTTGAACCCAGGAGGCAGAGGTTGCAGTGAACTGAGACCGTGCCACTGCACTCCAGCCTGGACGACAGAGCAAGACAGTCTCAAAAAAGAAAAAAAAAAATCAAGAATCACCTTAAAGGCATATACATGATGTACAACAGAGGAGCATGTACTGCAAATAATCCACTGCCATATCTCCTTGTTCAAATTTATTTTCAATGCTGGTCACAATCACTAAATTTATTTCATGACCCAAAGTTTGGGAAAAATACTTTGTCTATGCGGCATTTCACTGAAGGCTCTTGTAAGCCATTTTGGCTTCTGTCAATTTTCTCCCAGGAGGATGTGACTGAACTAAGATGATATATTCCTTCAGAGGGCCCGCGAACCTCTGCTGCAGACACGTCTTGTTAGGGTGCTTCCATCTGTCCCTGTTTGCAGTTATTTAGCAGGCGAGGAGGGGGAGGAAAGGTGAGCTGGGAGGATGGAAGGGAGCAAGAGAAAAGAATGAACAGACTGGGAACACTGGCTCAGGCCTATAATCCCAGCACTTTAGGAGGCCGAGGCAGGCAGATAGCTTGAGGTCAGGAGTTCAAGACCAGCCTGGCCAACATGGTGAAATGTCGTCTGTGCTAAAAATACAAAAATTAGCTAGGCATGGTGGCTCACGCCTGTAATCCCAGCTACTCAGGAGGCTGAGCCAGGAGAATTGCTTGAACCCGGGAGGTGGAGGCTGCAGTGAGCCGAGGTCGCGTCACTACACTCCAGCCTGGGCAACATAGCAAGACTCCCTCTCAAAAAAAAAAAAAAAAGAAAAAAGAAAAGAAAAGAATGAACAGTCACCATACCTGGACTCCTAATTCTTCACTAAGGTTGGTGAACAGATATTCATAGCCATAAGCCGCTTTGCAGTTCAGCCACACAACATGGTACGGGCTCCGAGTGATCCAGCTTCGGACCAGCTCTAAGACTCCACTTAAACACTCCTCCTAGACAGGATTTTAAAGAGACATTTAACAGGTGGAGAGCCGCACATAGCCTTTTCCTTCCCAACAGTCCCAGGTACTCACACCTACGGGGACAGTTAGGATATGACCTGTCACCCTACAAACTTCCTACTAAAAACACGGGCACACCCAGATGATAACCCTGTTCCTCCAGGCAGACTTACCCGACTTGGAATTTGGTAAAATCTTGGATCACAGAACGTAGTATCCAAATATACACTTTGGATGTCTTTGACTCTGAAAAGAAAAAAAATTGATGTTAGCCATCCAATGTGATATAAATTATGTGTAACTTTTTTTGTTTTTTGAGATGGAGTTTCGCTCTGTTGCCCAGGCTGAAGTGCAATGTCTGCTCACTACCACCTCCTCCACCTCCCGGGTTCAAGCAATTCTCCTACCTCAGCCTCCCAACTATCTGGGATCATGGGTTTGTGCCACCACACCTTGCTAATTTTTGTATTTTTTAGTAGAGACGGGGTTTCACCATGTTGACCAGGCTGGTCTCGAACTCCTGGCCTCAAGTGATGCACCCACCTCAGCCTCCCAAAGTGCTGGGATTACAGGCCAGAACTCCCAAAGTGCTGGGATTACACCCGGCCAGAGCAATAAAACTTTATTCAGTCATACACAGAAGAACTGTACAAGAGGCCAGGCACAGTGGCTCATGCCTGTAATCCCAGCACTTTGGGAGGCCAAGGGGGGCAGATCACCTGAAGTCAGGAGTTCAAGACCAGCCTGCCCAACATGGCAAAACCCCATCTCCACTAAAAATACAAAATTAGCTGGGCGTGGTGGCACGTACCTGTTATCCCAGCTACTTGGGAGGCTGAGGCAGGAGAATCGCTTGAACTCTGGGCGACACAGCAAGACTCCATTTCACAAAAATAAAATAAAATAAAATAAAACCTATACGAGGCCCAGTACCTGCCCCCGGAGTGCAGAAGCTCCATTCTAGCAGCTTCTCCTTGCGCCAATCTGAAGTCTCCTGTGTACAGGACAGTTCCATTATTGCCCTGAAATAAAAACCTGAAAAAGAAATATATCCCAGTGACTTCTGAGTCTCATATAAACTCCCAATAAAGCAAATACATGTGAGCTGCATACTAAATGCTTCCTGCAAACATATCCATTACAATACAATGGTAATGGAATTCCACAGTAATTTGAACCACACCAGGCACTCAGCTGTCACCTCTTCCCTCGGGTAGAAAATAACAGAATGGAGATGCTACCCAGTTTGTAATAGATGTTCCTTGTGATATGTTAGCACTTTCAATTATATGTTGAGATCATTCTTGCTCATGGAGAGAGAAATACACGTGATGATAAAATACAAGGTCACTGGGGAAACAGCTGCTGAAGACTTCCATTTATTTATTTTTATTTTGAGATAAGAGTCTTGCTCTGTCCCCCAGGCTGCAAGGCAGTGGCTCAATCTTGGCTCACTGCAACTTCCACCTTCTGGGATCAAGCAATTCCCCAGTAGCTGGGACTACAGGGGTGTGCCACCACACCCGGCTAATGTTTATACTTTTTGTAAAGTCAAGGTTTCACCATGTTGGCCAGGCTGGTCTTGAATTCCTGGCCTCAAGTGATGCACCTGCCTTGGCCTCCCAAAGTGCCGGGATTACAGGTGTGAGCCACCACACCTGGCCATGAAGACTTCCATTTTATAAGAAACGTTTCAAATCTGATCTTCACCTCAGTCCCCCTAGTTCAATTTGGGAACAAATGTGTTTTAAATGACTAGAAAAAAAATCAAATCTCCCTCTATGTATTCTTTCTTTCTTTTTTTTTTTTTTTTTAAAAAAAAAACTCACTGCAGCCTCCAACTCCCAAGCTCAAGCAATCCTCCCGCGTCAGCCTCCCAAAGCACTGGGATTACAGACATGTGCCACTGCACCCAGCCCCCTATTAATTTTAGACCCTAAAAATTTATTTCTACAAATACAATATGTGTCTACATATAATAAAATGACAAAATAAATGACCCCCTTACATAACTGATCCCGGACAGTGACCAGCTGGTAAGAGAGTCACAACAATCTCTTCCTTCTAAAAAGAAAATAAAGAAAAAATAGTAATGGAAAGCAGTTATCATTAGGACCTAGCTCAACAAAGCCCTCCTTCACAGAACACATTTATGTACCTTTTAACAATGTGCCTTTTCTCCCAATTTCCTCACACTCCAAATCCTAGAAACAAGTGGAATCCTTGTCCACTCAACAAACAGAATTCCCATGGGACTGAGCAATTTCACCACTAGTTATAGAACCAAGATAAGCGAAAACCGATGGCCACACAAAAATGTGTGCCTGACTGTTCACAGCAGCATTCTTCATACTAGCCAAAAGGTGGAACCAGTTCAAATGTCTATCAGCTGATGCATCAATCAGGAAAATGTGGTCTAGCCATACAATGAAATATTATTTGGCCATAAAAAGAACCGACACGTGCTGCAACATGGATGATCCTTGAAAACATCCTCAGTGAAAGAAGCCGGATAAGAAATGAACACATGTTGTATGATTCCACTCATATGAAATATCCGGAATAGGTGAACCCATGGAGACAGAGAGTCCAATACAGTAGTGGTTGCCGGGGGTTGGGGAAGGAGAGAATAGGGAGGGATTGCGATCGCTAAAGGCTTCTTCCCTTGGGGTGCTGAAAATATTCTGAAATTGATTGTGGTGATGGATACACAAGTGTGTGACTCGATTTCTATCTCAATAAAGCTATTTACTTTTTTTTTTTTTTTTTTTTTTGAGATGGAGTCTCACTCTGTCACCCAGGCTGGAGTGCGATGGTGTGATCTTGGCTCACTGCAACCTCTGCCTCCTGGGTTCAAGTAATTCTCCTGCCTCAGCCTCCCCAGCTGGGATTATAGGCGCCTGCCATCACGCCTGGCTAATTTTTTGTATTTTTAGTAGAGATGGGGTTTCACCATGTTCGCCAGGCCAGTCTTGAACTCTTGACCTCAAGTGATACATCTGCCTCGGCCTCCCAAAGTGCTGGGATTACAGGTGAGAGCCACCAAGCCCGGCCACTATTTAACAATTTTTAAAGCCTGAGCCAGGTGCGGTGGCTCATGCCTGTAATTCTAGCACTTTGGGAGGCCAAGGTGAACGAATCCCTTGAGGTCAGGAGTTTCAGACCAGTCTGGCCAACATGGCGAAACCCTGTCTCTACTAAAAATACAAAAATTAGCTGCGCATGGTGGTGGGCAGCACCTGTAATCCCAGCTACTCAGGAGGCTGAGGCAAGAGAATCGCTTGAAACCAGGAGGTAGAGGTTGCAGTGAGCCAAGATCGCCCTACTGCACTCCAGCCTGGGCGACAGAGTAAGGCTCAGTCTCAAAAAAAAAAAAAAAAAAAAAAAAGATTAAAGCCTGGATGAGGCCTGGTCCCGATTCACACTGCACATCATACTGTTCGGCAAGGGCAAGACCTGCAGGCACTACTGCCTCTCCAGCCATCAGTAAGTGGGGAGAGCTCTGCACACACCAGGTCACTGCTCAGTGACAGGGACTCCTCATGGAAGTCTCCATTCATTCTGGAGGACCCTTTCGAGTGGGTCTCCCCCTGGTTGGAGCTGGATAAACAATGCATAAAAGTCATGGCACACAGGAAGAAACATAAAAAATCAAAGTGGTGGCAGGACTGCTCAAAAGTCAGCCTGCTGTCGGCCCCCAGTTCAGGGAATGCCTTTCACCAATATCCCTGATTGTGACAAGGCCACAGACCACCACAGTATTCCCCGGAAAAGCAGTTGGCAGAGTCCAGGATGGCATTTACAAAGGTTCACCTATTTTTTTTTTCCTTTTTAATCCTCACTAAACTGGCTCTGTAGTCCTCCCTCAGGATAATTTGATGGGAAGAATACTTCAACTTCAACTGTCTGATCTTCACCAAAGAAGAAATATCTGAAAAGGTCAGTTTCTGTTCAACAACACAACACACCCTCAAAGTTAAACACGGCAAAGCAGTGTGCTATAATCAAGCAACAAAGCCAATATTAACCAAAATAGGAAAATACCTACCAGCTGTAAAGGTTAAAAAAAGGGGGGCTGTATGTCTATAGTCCTACTTATTAAAACCATACATTCACAAAAGTACTACCTCAAAATTTAATGATGAAAAATAATTTTTTTCCACTTGGCAGAGCCCCTTTTCTGAATAAGGGTTCAGAAAAAAAGTACAATATTCATGAATTACCTGCAAAAATATTAATCACCATTTTAAATTCTGAGCATTATAAAACTCAGTAAATGTGACAATAACATCATGTAGTAATATCAACACCAGGGTTCCCATCATTAGCATGTAATAAGGAACAAATGTGACAAAAAATAAGCCATGCCCAATCCTTTACAACATGGGAAATAAATACATCACTGTTAAGGACTAAATGTTCGTGTCCCTCCCCAAAATTCCTATGTTGAAATCCTAACCCCCAAAGTGGTTTTATTAGGAGGCTTTTGGGAGGTGATTAGTTATTGGGCATAGAAGCCTTGTGAGTGACATCAGTGCCTTTATAAAAGACACCCAGGGGAGCTTGTCTGCCCCTTTACTATGGGAGGACACAGGGAAAAAGACAGCATCTAAGAACCAGGAAGTGGCCAGGCACAGTGACTCACGCCTGTCACCCCAGAACTTTGGGAGGCCAAGGCAGGCGGATCACTTGAGGTCAGGAGTTCAAGATGAGTCTGACCAACATGGTGAAACCCCTTCTCTACTAAAAATACAATAATTAGCTGGGCTCTGGTCGTGGTGGCAGGCGCCTGTAATCCCAGCTACTAGAGAGGCTGAGGCAGGAGAATCGCTTGAACCCAGGAGGTGGAGGTTGCAGTGAGCCAAGATCACACCACTGCACTCCAGCCTGGGTGACGGAGTGAGACTCTGTCTCAAAAAAAAAAAAGAACCAGGAAGTGGGCCCTCACCAGACACGAAATCTGCTGGAGACTGGATCTTGGATTTCCAGTCTCTAGAACCCTAAGCAACAAGTGTCTATTGTATAAGCCACTCAGTCTACGGTAGTTTTGTGAGTCCAGCCCAAATGGACTTACACAATCACAAAGGGATTTTTTTGCCCCTAAAACCCCACTCAATGACTAGATTTTTATTTATGGTTAAATGAGCATTCAAAATCAAAGAGAAAGATTGAGGGTATAGCTGAGGGGTGGAGCATCTGACTGCAAAATCAAAGAGAAATATAAACAATCATTTTAGCACCACATTTTTTTAAAAAAATCAATATTTAATATTTAGTTACCTCTCCTGATGCTTCATCCACTAAAGATATCTGGGTAGGAGTCTCGATTTCAATAGATATCTATAAAAATAAAATAAGAGACCATGTATATAGCAGTTTTTCATGGCTTTATATGCCTTTGCTGTCTGAAACACAGAAATGGGGCAAAGAGAAGTTTCAGACTCTCTATATAAACAATTCCGATTACATTGTAATAAATATTTTAACAGTTAGAAAAAATTGTAAAGAAAATAATACCTGTCTTGAGGCAGATTTGGTAATACGGAGTAAACGCCTTGTAAATGCATATAATCCTCTGACACAATTCTGTTTCCATGAATTCATTTTTCCTCCTTCATCTCCCCATCCCTACCACTCCCATTCCCCTCTCTCTCTGAATTCTGAGTCTTTGTAAAAACGTGGTCCTGTGTCCTAACTTTTGTGCCTCAGAACACAGTCTGGATGGGTCTGTGACATGGATGCTTCATACACGGTTCTTTTATTTTTTTTTTTTTTCTCAGATGCATTCTCGCTCTGTCACCCAGGCTGGAGCGCAGTGGTGTGGTATCGGCTCACTGCAACCACCGCCTCCTGGGTTCACGCGATTCTCCTGCCTCAGCCTCCCAAGTAGCTGGGATGACAGGCGCCCGCTACTACGCAAGGCTGAGTTTTTTGTACTTTTAGTAGAGACAGGGTTTTGACATGTTGGCCAGGCTGGTCTCCAACTCCTAACCTCAGGATCAACTGCCTCAGCTTTCCAAAGTGCTGGGATTACAGGCGTGAGCCACCACACCCAGCCTCATGCACTGGTTCTAAGTGCTGCCGAACGCTCCCTGGTACATTTCCCCCTGCCATCAAAACAGAGACTAGCACATAAGAGGCATTCAGTAAGTATCTGATGAATAGATCAATGTGATTTTTCACCTTTTTAGTCCACTAATGTCCTAAAACTTACAGTGTCTAAGGTTTGGGTGTTAAAGTATTTTTGCATTTCTGGAATGAAACATCTTATTCATGATGTACTATTTAACACTGCTAGATTCAGTTACTGTCTTTATGAGGATTCTTACATTTTCATGTATGAAATGGGTTTTTCCCCATTTATTATTTTTGAGATAGGGTCTCGCTCTGTCGCCCAGGCTGGGGCGCAGTGGCACGATCTCAGCTTGCTGCAACCTCTGCCTCCCAGGTTCAAGCAATTCTCCTGCCTCACCCTCCTGAGCAGCTGGGACTACAGGCACCCGCCACCATGCCTGGCTAATGTTTTGTAGCAGAGATGGGGTTTCACCATATTGGCCAGACTGGTCTCGAACTCCTGACCTCAGGTGATCCCTCCACCTCAGCCTCCCAAAGTGCTGCGATTACAGGTGTGAGCCACTGAGCTAGTCCTCTTTTCTAATATATCTATTTAATGCTATCAATTTCCCTTCAAGGACAAATTTAGCTATGTTCCACACATTCTGACATGCCACATTTCCATTGTCCATCAGCTCCTTTATTTATTTATTTATTTTGAGACAGGCTCTCGCTGTGTTAGCCAGCCTGGAGTGCAGTGGCACAGTCACGGCTCACTATAACCTCAAACTTCGGGGCTCAAGTGATTTTTCTGCCTCAGCCTTCTGAGTGGCTGGGACTACAGGCACACTCTACTATACCAGGCTAGTTTTTAAGGTTTTTTTGTAGACATGGGGTTTTGCAGTATTGCCCAGGCCGGTTTCGAACTCCTGGACTCACACAATTGTCCCACCTTGGCCTCCCGAAGTGCTAGGACTACACATGAGAGCCCCCAAGCCTAGCCATATCAGTTCTACATATTGTATGTTTTCTTTATCGTACAATTTCCTTTTTAACCAAAGGGTCAGTTATTGTATGCATTTAGTTTCCACGTGTATGGGAAGATTTTAGCTGTCCCTTTGTTTCTGATCTCCAACATCATTGCCTTCTTTTGTGACACAGTACATGGTTAGTTTTTGTAAGTGTCATGAGCACCCCCCAAAATACTATTTTCTTCCTTGGGTTTAAAGTTCTGTTCATTAGTCCACATTCACACATTTTCTGCATCCTGTTTCCTGCCTCCTTCTTTCAGCATCTGGGAGGGGCATGTTAAGCTCTTCAGTGACAATTGTTGATTTCCTATTTCTTGCCCTGATTCTGCCGTGGCCTTGTTTGTACTATGTCAACTCACCTAAGCTGGAACTGTTTCCTAGAACCCCTTTCCATGTTGTTGCCCACAGTAAACATTAAGAAGGCAGATGTGAACTAGTAGGGATTTTTTAATGCTCTGAAGGGCGCCAGAAATGGTAACAGCTAGTGAACATTGCTGACCTTCTGGCTTAACTCAGAGTCTGGGGCAGGGCCGCAGCAACATCAGCTTCTGCTGGGTGCCCGTGTGCAGCTCCTCCGAGTCCTGGGGCAGGTGCATGTGCTTCAGAGCCAAAGCGGGAGACCAGCACTATTGAGGCCAGAGGAAGTGAGAGACAGAAGTGGGTTTCGGTCTGTCCTAGTGGGCCATTCTGCCTTCCAGTTTGTCTCTGTTCCCCTCCACTTCTCTTCCAGCTTTCCTTCCTGACTGCTGGCCGGGCTGACCTGTAGTAACTTCAAGCTGAATGCCAGAGACAACAGGAACAACCCTGCTGTTGTGACTGCTCTGCAGAGGGAGGACAAATCCCCTTCTCAATCAAAGGTCAGATGTGGAGGTGGATGATATCATGCACACAAACACACGTGCACACACTATGTGTGCATACTCACACACGCATGCACATACACACACGCGAGCACACACACGACAGAGAATGAGAAGAAAACTTCAGTCACATCACAGGACTTTCGGGGAGGGCAGTGCAGTCCCTGAGCTGGGGACAGAAGTGTTTCCTGTGGCTTAAGAGAGAGTAGGAGCAAGTAGCCCTGGTTTCCACTTTGGTGCGGGTTGGGCCTGGACATGCCTGGTTTGAACTTCGCCTTAGTGCTAAGGCAGGCATGGGCCTTTTTGTCAGCTTGCCCAAATGTGGGTAGGAGGGAGGCACTGGCTGCAAGCAGCTTAAGAGCAAACAGAAGCCCGGCATAGTGGCTCACACCTGTAATCCCAGCCCTTGGGTGGCCGAGGCGGGAGGATCACCTGAGGGCAGGAGTACAAGACCAGCCTCGCCAACATGGCAAAACCCCATCTCTACTAAAAAATACAAAAATTAGCCAGGTGTGGTGGTTCAGGCCTGTAATCCCAGCCACTAGGGAGGCGGAGGCAGGGAGAATTGCTTGAACCGGTTAGATGGAGGTTGCGGTGAGCTGAGATCACGCCTCTGCGCTCCAGCCTGTGACAGAGTGAGACTATCTCAAAAAAAGGAAAAAAAAAAGTAAACAGACTCTTTGTGACACTGGGACAAATTGCTCTGCCAACTCCCACAATGATTTAAGAACTAATCCATGTAATGAACCCACATTCTGTTAAGTCATTGTGGTTCTCCTCAGATCAAGCACTGGGTGACAGGTTCTCGCAGTTTCTACTTCAGCTGGATGCTATTTTGTCAATTGCACATACGTCCATATGACCCATGGCTCCTTTTAACAGTGACACCCTCTTCAAACCTTGTCTTTCTTTGCCTTCTAGTCTACTTTCTGATATTAAAAACTGCCACTCTGACATTTTGGCCTTCTGATTGGTTAGTAATTTTTTCTTCTTCCCCCAAAATTTCAAATTTCAACCTGTATTTATCCTTCTGTTTTATCTATGTCTCTTATAGACTAATACTCATGAATTTGTCTAACTTTTTTGTTTGTTTTTGAAGATGGAGTCTCGCTCTGTCACCCAGGCTGGAGTGTAGTGGCACGATCTCAGCTCACTGCAACCTCCGCCTCCCAGGTTCAAGCGATTCTCCTGCCTCAGCATCCCAAGGAGCTGGGACTACAGGCACCGCCACCACACCCAATTTTTTGCATTTTTAGTAGACACGGGGTTTCGCCCTGTTGGCCAGGCTGTTCTCTATCTGACCTCAGGTGAGCTGCCCGCCTCGGCCTCCCAAAGTGCTGGGATTACAAGCGTGAGCCACTGGGCCCAGCCAGATTTGTCTGATTTTTTTAACTTAAACTGAGAATTTGTCTTTTGACCAAAGGTACAATTAAATCCTTTCCTATATATAGTCATATATAATTGGACTTTTTCTGCCTTCTTTGCATTTTCTATTCACCAGACTTTTTCCTCCCCTTGACTACCTCATATTGGACAGATGCATTTTATTCTGCCAGACCGAAAGTTACCCATTCTATCTGTATTCTTCTAGCTGTCATCCCTTCCTTATGACAGCCTGTAATTTGTTTATTTTTCTTACTCTATCCCACAATTTAAATAAAAGGATTTAGCAATTATGTTAATGAACACTTTACACTCTAAAATATTAAAATGTGGCCAGGCATGGTGGCTCACACCTGTAATTCCAACACTTTGGGAGTGGATCCACTTGGAACCAAGTGGGTGGAACCAAGGTGGGTGGATCACCTGAAGTCAGGAGTTTGAGACCTGCCTGACCAACACAGTGAAATCCTCTGCCTACTAAAAACACAAATATTAGCCGGGTATGGTGGTGGGATTCTGTAGTCCCAGCTACTTGGGAGGCTGAGGCAGGAGAATCACTTGAACCCAGGAGGCAGAGGTTGCAGTGAGCCGAGTTTGAGCCACTGCACTCCAGCCTCGGCAGCAGAGCGAGACTCCATCTCAAAAACAAAAAATAGAAAATATTAAAATGCATCTTAGCAAGAGGGTCAATGAGATTAAGCAAACAAAACTGAGACCTAGATCTCACTCTTGAGGAAGAAGGAAAACATATCAACAACTACCAAATGTTGACTTCTGCCATATTGTTCAATGCCAACAGACTTAATTTTTTTTTTCTTTTTTTTTTTTTTTTTTTTAGATGGAGTCCCACTCTGTTGCCCAGGCTGGAGTGCAGTGGCGTGATCTCAGCTCATTGCAACCATTGCTTCCTGGGTTCAAGCAATTATCCTGCCTCAGCCTCACAAGTAGCTGGGACTACAAGTGTGTGCCACGACACCTGGCCAAATTTTGTATTTTTAGTAGAGACAGGGTTTTACCATGTTGGCCAGGCTGGTCATGAACTCCTGACCTCAAGTGATCCATCCGCCAAGGCCTCCCAAAGTGCTGGGATTATAGGTGTAAGCCACCATGTCCGGCCAGAGACTCAATATTCTAATTAATGTGGATAACTGAAGTATGTTACAAACTGAGGCAAAGTTTTTGTCAATCTACCTCTAAAAATACTTCCCACTTAAAAAAAATTAAGTTATTAAAAAAATAAAACTTACAATTCGTTTCTTCCAAAATCTGTATTTCGGGCTCGTTAACAACAACTCCTTAGTCACAGGTGAACAGTATAGATAAACCTTCAAGCTGAAAGGAAAAAAGAAAAAAACTTTCAGTACAATCCAAAATGAGCCATCTTGGTGACTAAGAAATCTATTTCATCATACATCTAATAATTTCATTTGAGACCAGTCTGACCAACATGGTGAAACCCCATCCCTAATAAAAACACAAATACTAGCCTGGCATGGTTATGAAATCTATTTCATCATACATCTAATAATTCAGAAATTACGCTGGCACAAAATCTGTTAGAGTCACTCTCAACATACCTATGCACACCATTTCAGTGCCACCAAGAGCACAAGGTGGGGGTGGAAACACGGTGTCCCTGGACCTCCTCCAACAGTGGTCCCTCACCATTGTTACTTGGAAATACGCGCTTGTATGTGATCAGGTGTGTCTGGAAAGATACCGCCACACATTACACTACCTCTGGAAAAGGTGTGTTGAGAACAGAAACTTCTGCTTTTTACTGTATAAGTCTATTCTTTTTTTTTTTTTTTTTTTTTTTGAGATGGAGTCTTGCTCTGTTACCCAGGCTGGAGTGCAATGGTGTGATCTCGTCTCACTGCAAACTCCACTTCCCAGGTTCAAGCGATTCTCCTGCCTCAGCCTCCCGAGTAGCTGGGATTACAAGCACGCGCCATGATGCCGGACTAATTTTTGTATTTTTGTAGAGATGGAGTTTGACCACGTTGGCCAGGCTGGTCTCGAACTCCTGACCTCGGGTGATCCACCCACCTCGGCCTCCCAAAGTGATGGGATTACAGGCGAGAGCCACTGCGCCCGGCCTATTCTTTTTTTTTTTTTTTAATGAACAGAAATTAATTTCATAATAAACTTTTTTTTTCTTTTTTTTTGAGATGGAGTCTTGATCTGTCACTCAGGCTGGAGTGCGGTGGCGCGATCTCGGCTCAAAGCAACCTTCCGCCTCCCGGGTTCAAGCGATTCTCCTGTCTTAGCCTCTTGAGTAGCTGGGACTACATGCGCACCACCACGCCCAGCTAACTTTTTGTATTTTTAATAGAAATGGGGTTTCACCGTGTTGGCCAGGCTGGTCTCGATATCCTGACCTCAACTGATCCACCCACCTCAGCCTCCCAAAGTGATGGGATTACAGGCATGAGCCACCGCGCCCAGACCATAATAAACTTTTAAAACTTAACGCTATCATTTTGAGGTTAGGAATATAGTCTACGGTAGATTGTATTTTCCAAAGATGGCCACACAATGACATACACCATCCATACATGCTCTCCTTACAAAATAGATACTAAAATTCCTCCACTGACTGGCGGGGTCTATGTTCCCTCCCCTTGAACCTGGGCAGTTTTCTGTAATTACCTTCACCATAGAATGCGGTGGAAGTAATTGCATGGCTTTTGAGGTTAGATCTCCAGGTAGTACAACTTCCTCCTAGCTCTCTCTTAGGACATACGCTTTTTAACCCTGAGTCTCCATTTAACAGGTCTGGCCATCCTGACAGACTCACGCTAAAGAGATTTTTTTTTTTAGGGGGAGGGGAGCTCACTGTCACCCAGGCTGGAATGCAAGCTATCCTCCCACATCAGCAGCCTGAGCACCTGGGACTACAGCACATGCCACCACACCTGGCTCATTTTTCCTATTTTCTGCAGAGATGAGGTCTCCCTACGTTGCCCAGGTTGGTTTCAAACTCCTATGCTCAGGTCATCCTCCCACCTCAGCTTCCCAAAGGCCTGGGATTATAAGCCTAAGCCACTACGCCTGGCCTAAAGAGACTTTTAGAGATAGAGATGCCGCACGCCTGTAATCCCAGCACTTTGGGAAGCCAAGGTGGGCAGATCACTTGAAGTCAGGAGTTTGAGACCAGCCTGACCAACATGGTGAAACCCCATCTCTACTGAAAAATAAAAAATTAGTTGGGCTTAGAGGCACGTGCCTGTAGTCCTAGCTGCTTGGGAGGCTGAGCTGGGAGAATTGCTTGAACCTGGGAGGCAGAGATTGCAGTGAGCCAACATCACGCTACTGCACTCCTGCCTGGGCAGCAGAGTTCGACTCTGTTTCAAACAAACAAACAAACAAACAAACAAACAAAAAAACATGCCAAATGGTTCTAGCCCCTAGCTGTGTGAGTTTTCCCAGCCCAGGTATCAGACATGGATAAGGGAGTCTTCAGATCTTAAGGGGCTGACATCTGAAGACTCTGCTCACTGATGTTTGATACCTGGGCTGGGAAACCATTCCCATTCTACCCTGTCAATCCCTGATCCACAGAAACTGAGCAATAAGACATGATCAGTGTTAAGTCACTCCATTTTGAAGTAATTTGTTACGCAGCAGCAGATGACTGATACATAGGCTCTGCAATCAGACAGACCTGGCTGGAATCCTGGTCCTGCCACTTACTGGCTGTGTGACACTGGGCAACTAATTTAACCTCTCTGGTTCCTCAGTTTCCTCATCTGTAAAATAGAAATAATAGTAGGATCTATTCAAAAGGTTATCAAGAAGCTCTAATGACAATGTCAGGTACAAGTGTGCAGAGCCTTGCATCTGTGTGGCTCACTAATGCATTCTCCACCTCCAGTACAATGCCCGACATGTCACAGGTGACCAAAAAAAATTACTGAGGCCAGGAGTGGTGGCTCATGCCTGTAATCCCAACACTTTGGGAGGCTGAGGCAGGCAGATCACTTGAGGTCAGGAGTTCGAGACCAGCCTGGCGAACATGGTAAAACCCCTCTCTACCGAAAATACAAAAAGTAGCTGGGCGTGGTGGTGGGTGCCTGTAATCCCAGCTACTCCGGTGGCTGAGGCAAAAGAATCACTCGAAAAGAAGTTGCAGTGAGCTGAGATCGTGCCACTGCACTCCAGCCTGGGCGACAGAGCAACACCCTGTCACAAAAGTCAATAAGTAAATACAAATAAAGTAATAAAAAATTATTGGCCAGGTGCAAAGGCTCATGCCTATAAGCCCAGGGCTTTGGGAGGCCAAGATGGGAGATCACTTGAAGCCAGGAGTTTACAACCAGCCTGGGCAACATGGTAAGTCCCCGTCTCTACAAAAAAAAAAAAAATTGTTGAACAAAAAATACACAGTGCCAAGATACAGTAAGTATTCAATAAACGTTAGCTATCATTATCAAGAAGACAGAGTATTGCTATCAATTAGCAGAGAAGCCTGACATCCACTGGCCCTTTTCAAATATGTATCTTGAGAAGGGGGAATTTAGATGTAGGCAATGGCTGCAAGAGAAGCATCTAACAGTTCAGCTTTAAGAAAAAATCCAGTATTATATGATCCTTTACAATGGAACAGCCATTCTCTCTCATATACTCTTACAGAAATAACATGGAGTGAGTTACTGCTGTACCTAGCAGCATAGATAAATCACACAAATACAAAGTTAAGTAAAGTAAAACAAATATAAAAGGGTATATTTGGGGCCAGGTGCCAGTGGCTCACATCTATAATGCCAGCCCTTTGGAAGAATGAGGCAGGAGGATCACCTGAGGCCAGGAGTTCGAGATCAGCCTGGGCGACATAGCAAAACTCCATCTCTGTTTTTTTTGTTGCTGTCGTTGTTGTTGTTGTTGTTTTTAGAGAGTGTATTTGGTAGGATTATATATATATATATATATATCAAGTTCACAAACAGCCAAAGCTAACCCATGATGACAAAAGTCAGAATAGAGGTTACCTTTGGGAGGAGGGAATGAGTTGG
Organism: Homo sapiens; assembly: GCF_000001405.40. Lineage (NCBI taxonomy): Eukaryota > Metazoa > Chordata > Mammalia > Primates > Hominidae > Homo > Homo sapiens. The sequence goes on from NC_000010.11 coordinate 14,948,873, forward strand.
GAGGTAAGAGGGGTCTGGGATATTGGTACTGTCCTATTTCTTAATCTGGGTGATGCGTTCATTTTGTAAATGACTATATGCTTGGATGTATATACTTTTCTGTACAGTTGTTATCTCTCAATTAAAATGTTTGCTTAAAAACACAAGTAGCAAAATAAATTACCTGCACTCCAACCTTCTTTTCAAGGTAGGGGCTCTTAATCCTTTCATGTGATCTAAAAACAAAAGAACAAAAACTCATGAATATGTTTTTCCAGAGGATTCCTTAGCCCAAGGGAAACAGTCGTCTTCTTTTTCAGCTTCAAGAGAAAACCCATGAGGTTTGCTTTTATAAGAATTGATTCACATGGGCTATGAGCTCTTTCTTCTGCAAGTGAAGAATCCTCCTCAGAACAGGACCGGCTGCCCATTTCTGAGCCATCCAAGTCAATTTAAAAGGAGAGTGATTCTGTGCATCATAGGCCAGAGTTTAAATCACTCTGGGCAGCCACAGAAGAATGAGAACTGCTTCTAGCCCTCCACTCTTACTTCATTTCAATCCAACCATCCTTCGAGCCAAGCTCTATGGGACCCATTCACTTTCTGCCACTTAAATCAGTCTATCTAGAAATTCAAGTTCGTGGTCATGGAGTCTGCTGGGAAATCACTCAGGTTCAGAGTAAGTGTTTCGTCATCTTCTCAGCCTACTGTGATGGATTGAAAGGGGAATATTACTATCCACAAAGACTTGCTCCACAGCGCTCCACATTAACAGACACAGACAACAGAAAGGTAGCAATTAGACCGACTATTACATTAAGTATATCATGCATTCCAATATATTCTGAATCTTTAGCAAGTAAAGGCCCAGACAACAATGATCAAACAGCTCTAAATTGTTTAACTAAACCAGTTGGACATGGTGGCTCTTGCCTGTAATCCCAACACTTTGGGAGGCCGACGTAGGCGGATCACCTGAGGTCAGAAGTTCAAGACCAACCTTGCCAACATGGTAAAACCCCATCTCTACTAAAAATACAAAAATTAGCCATGAATAGTAGCACACCCCTATAATCCCAGCTACTCGGGTGGCTGAGGCAGGACAATCACTTGAACATGGGAGGTAGAGGTTGCAGTGAGCCAAGGCCATAACACTGCACTTCGGCCTGGGCGACAGAGTGAGACTTCATCTCAAAAACAAACAAACGGCTGGGCGCGGTGGCTCATGCCTGTAACCCCAGCACTTTGGGAGGCCGAGGCAGGCGGATCACCTGAGGTTGGGAGTTCGAGACCAGCCTGACCAATACGGAGATACCCTGTCTCCACTAAAAATATAAAATTAGCTGGGGCTGGTGGCGCATGGCTGTAATCCCAGCTACTTGGGAGGCTGAGATAGGAGAATTGCTTGAACCCCGAAGGCAGAGGTTGCGGTGAGCTGAGATTGTACCATTGCACTCCAGCCTGGGCAACTAGAGTGAAACTCCATCTCAAAAATAAATAATAACCAAAAAAAAAAAAAAAAAAACAAGAACAATAAATTGCTTAGCTAAACCAAACCAATTCTAATTACCACGAGCACCACCACACACACACACAAGCACCCCCTCAATTTATATGTCGTGTGGCCATCATTAGACCCAGTGAAAGCAGAGCAGTCACCACATGTCACTTGGCAGCCCTTGATTGTATATATGCCTCCAGGAGAGTCCACCTGTCTCCCACTGGGTAAATTCCCTCAAGGGATATCTGGTCCAGTCTTTTAGGGCCTATGGGTATATCCCTGGGCAGCATTCTCCGTAATTGGAGTTTCCAAAGAGTTTGCGCCATGGCAAAGAGGAGGCTGAATGCAGACTCTGCATCCTGCTCCCACACTGACTAAGCAGGCAGCACCCTGCATGGTGCATCATGGTCCCCCATCCTCACCACCCTGAGGCCCCTTCCAGCTGGTAGTCACAAGAACTGGATGGGTTTGCTTTGTGTGGCTGGAACTGCACCCAGGTCTGCTTTTCCAGGGAGGTTTTCCTTTTCCTTGGCAACCATCATAAATTGTCCCCTCTAGGGGATTTCCCCAACCCTGGGCCACTATCTCAGGTCTCAGGGGTCGGGGGGCCCTCTCATCTTTCAGAACTTACTGATGATGCTTAGTAAAGCCCACCCTGCACACAGCATTGGCTTCCAGATGGCCCACAAATAAGCATCAGGTGGGTCCATAGCCTACTCCGAATTATATCAAAATGTGATGTGGGGCTGGGTGTGGTAGCTCACACCTGTCATCCCAGCACTTTGGGAGGCTGAGGTGAGTGGATCACCTGCACCCAGGAGTTCGATACCAGCCTGGGCAACATGGGGAAATCCTGTCTCTCTATAAAAAATAGAAAAATTAGCCAGGCATGATGGTGCATGTCTGTAATCCCAACTACTCAGGTGGGAGTACTTGCTGAGGTGGGAGGATTGGTTGAGTCCAGGAGGTGAAGGCTGCAGTGAGCCGAGATCGCACCACTGCACTCCAGCCTGGGTGACAGAGCAAAACCCTGTCTCAAAAAAAAAAAAAAAAAAAAAAAAAAAAAAAAGGAAGTGATGTGGATGGGTTTCCATGCATTTTTTCTAGCAAAAGAGTCCATACAGTTTCTCATGTTTGAGCTGCTATCACAAGATACCATAGATACCATAGTTGGCCTTCACACCAGCGCTGTAAGGAAAGGTAGTGTTTTGGTTGCCTTCAACACCAAAAAGGTATTTCTCACAGTTCAGGAAGCTGGGAAGATCAAGATGCGGGGCGATTTGGTTTCTGGAGAGGGCACTTTTCCTAACTTACAGACAGCCGCCTTCTCACTATGCACTCACATGGCTTTCCTAGGCCCCGCATGAGGACAGAGCGCCCTCTCTCTTCCTTCTCTTGTAAGGAAACTAATCCTATCAGAGTAGGACACCACGGTAGGACCCCACTTAAACTTATTTTCCTCCTAAAAGCCCCAGCCCCAAATACAGTCGCTTTGGGGGTTAGGGCTTCAACATATGAATTTTGTGGAGATAGTCCATATCATAATCAAAGAAGCCTGTGTCCCAAAAAGGTGAAAAGCCAACAGAAGGCAATGTGAGAAACCTCCAAAAGCAGAAGTTGTGTTTTCACCCTTGATGAGTTTATGTCCTGGTTGACTAAGCAGATCCACATGTGGTCAGAGAACAGAAAAAGTTGTTATAGACTGTTCAACAGTAGGGAAGAGTCCATTTCTGGCTTAATGCACAAACTTATGATGATTTCAAATTCCTTTAGATTTATTATTTCTCCAAACTCAGCCATCCTAAACACGAAGTGCAAGTTTCGGAAGTATACTTTAATCCTGGCTAGCCCATTTTGAGTTCAGAGACTCCAGTGCGGCTCTACACAAAAAGTAAAAATAGGCATATCCTCGTCCAGCAGTGGATTCTCAATGAAAAACAAAACCAGAAATGTGTCAGGCACAGCGGCTCACACCTGTAATCCTAACACTTTGGGAGGCTGAGGTGGGTGGATCTACCTGAGGCCAGGAGTTCGAGACCAGCCTGGCCAACATGGTGAAACATCATCTCTACTAAAAACACAAAAATTACCTGGGTGTGGTGGTGCGTGCCTGTAACTCCAGCTACTTGGGAGGCTGAGGCACGAGAATCGCTTGAACCCAGGAGGCGGAGGTTGCAGTGAACAGAGATCACGCCACTGCACTCCAGCCTGGTGATGGAGACTCCACCTCAAAATAATAATAAAAATACAAACATTAGCTAGGCATGGTGGCTGACTCCTGTAGTCCCAACTACTTGAGCAGAGAGCATGTGCCACACTGTACTCCAGCCTGGGCGACAAAGGGAGACCCTGTCTCCAAAAAAAAGAAAAAGAAGAAGGAGATGCTCAAAGACGTGCACGATGCGAATACGGCAACGCACGAGAAGAGGTCCAGATTTTCCCATTAAAGAGAAATCACTGGTGGCTTTGTGGAAAAAAAAAGCAGAGACATTTCGCAGAAGCAGTAACTTCAACGATTTATAGTCCAAGTGATTGATTCCACACACAAAACAACATAGCTGGCCTTCACACCAACCCTGTGAGGAAAGGCTGTGTTTGGATACCTGTAATTTACTTTAAAATACTTTCCTACTGCGCAGGTACAGATAGGTTTGTTACGCTGATTGACTCCACAGGGTAGTGGGAGCTTCCTGCTCCAGCACGCTGCAAGGCCACACAGCAGGAGGCAGCAACTCCAGTGATTCCGTTTATCATTTTCTCCAATTAACACTAATGGCTGGGCGAATTAGCACAATGAGCATTAAAACTGTTTTCCCTGGTAAAAGTTAGTGACTTGTTAGCACAATAGAAGTGAAAATGAACAATGGTTGTCAAGTTAGCGGTATTTAAACTCTGGAACTTAGCTCCAATCTCTGCTTGGAGCATCAGCGACACTCTAACCTTAATCCCTAAATCGGCCCAGCTGTGAAAGGATCCAGCTGTGAAATCATAGTAGCTTTTCAGGTTGCCTGATACCATCTAGAAGGGAAACATCCCTCCAACCTAAACTAGAACGAAACTTTCATATTGGATACGGACAGAACACCCAAAGGCCAAGGAGCTTGCACTTCGTGGAGCTCTTAGGCGGGCTGTTCCACAGTTGTGTGTGTGTCTGAGTCTCCTGCTTGCTGACCAATGTTTGAGGGTGTGGTCAAATGGATCTGAAACTTGTTTTCTTCATACATGGTAGCGAGGCTCTGAGGGAAGTACTAACCCTCGCCAATCTCTGATCATCGGCCACCAGCAAAGCTACCAAGAGAAACTACTAGCAGTGCTTGACCAAGCCGGCCCGGGGCGCAACTGGCAGGCGCCGTTACGCCGCGTTGACCACATCCGAAAATAGATGAAGCCTTTGAGAGGCTGAAGAGCCCGACTGGGACAAGGCGTGTGCTGGCCGCCCCCTCGCTGGCTTCCCACAGGCTGCAGCTCCTTGCTCCAGGGCCGGCCCCCTCCTGTCCTCTCTCCAGCCCCCAGCGCCCCGGGAGCGGGCGACGCGCAGCCCTCACTCACCTTTGTGGCAGTGGGACAGGAAGTAGGCGCGGGCCCTCAGGTTCTCCCTATCGAAGCGGTCTATGGAGATAGTTGGATACTCGGCCATCTGCCCCTCGAAAGAACTCATAGCGCCGCCGATCCCAGAGTCCGGGACCCCAAAACCGCAGCTGAAGCCAAGGCCAGCCCTGACCGCGCCGCCACTTCCGGGAAGCCGCGCGCTGCCTCGCCATTGGGCGGCCGAACGCAGCCACGTCCAATCAGAGGAGTCCGGAGACCGGGGGCAAAGTCAAGGAGCATCCGGTCGGGTTCTAGGCGCCCGCTGCTTGGGTTTAAATCACCCGCGCTTCGCTGCACGCGATGGGCCCTGAGCCCTGCCCAGTGCAAGGCTCATTCCCGCCCAACAAACACAGGTGTTGCTCTGGTAAGGCGTTGCCCATGTCTGTGGAGGTGCAGTCGCGGGAAGGGAAATCGAAACTCCCAGAGCAGGTGGCCCCAGCCGACGAGGTGAGTGGGCTGCGGAACTGCGCTTAGAAATCATTCTTCGTTCCGCTTCCTGCTTGTCTGCTGCTAGCCTGAAACCCGAGCTCAGTTCCCCGCCCTCTCTCTTCTGTTCCCAATTTCTAACCTTGTGGGATTACCGTGAGGGTTGTATGAGAAAGTTTGTATCTGACTCATGGTAGATTCAGGAACTATTAATTCCCTCTTCCGTTTATATAATCTACAAACTGAATAAATCATCTCTGCGTGATCTTGGGGCAAATAAGATCCCAATAATGCCTTCGCTGCTGGCCTCTCCCCTGGGCCCCCACCTTTTTGAGCTATACTTTTAGGAAGTTAGAATGATGTACTTAAAAAAAGAAAAATGGCAGGAAAGGTCTAAAATTTTTTAACAACCAAAGCAACTTTATGAAAAGGTTTGTTAAACCTTTTATTGTATTTCCTTTATTGTATTACAATAAACCAAATAATCACCATGACATTTATTGTGCTCCTTCCTATCAAATCTCCTTAGTATAATTAAACACAAACAACCCAGAACACTTTCGCTTTATTTTATTTATTTATTCAGTTGGGGTCTAGTTCTATCGCCCAGGCTGGAGTGCAGTGGCGTGATTTCGGCTCTCTGCAACCTCCGCCTCCCGGGTTCAGGCGATTCTCCTGCCTCAGCCTCCAGAGTAGCTGGGACTACAGGCACGCGCCGCCACGCCTGGCTCATTTTTATATTTTTAGCAGAGACGGGGTTTCACCACGTTGACCAGGCTGGTCTCGAGCTCCTGGCCTCATGCGATCCGCTCGCCTCGGCCTCCCAAAGTGCTGGGTGAGCCATTGTACCTGGCTTTCCAGGCCTCCATAACACTTGAAGTCCCACTTTGTGCACAGCACTGTGACAAACCTTCGGGTAGCATTCAATCTATCTGGCGACAACATGTTTGCAGAATATGGCAAATAAATGCTTCCACAGAGACGCAAGGTAACGTGAGAACAAATCCAGGAACAAAGATTTCTGACCAGGGAAATCAGGAATCAGAATGCCATCCCAGCCCACCTCAGTGGCTCATGCCTGTAATCCCAGCACTTTGGAGGGCTGAGGCAGGTGATCACCTGAGGTCAGGAGTTCAGGACCAGCCTGGACAACATGGTGAAACCCCATCTCTACTAAAAATACAAAAATCGGCCGGGCATGGTGGCACACATCTCCAGCTACTCGGGAGGCCGAGGCAGGAGAATCACTTGAACCTGGGAGGCGGAGGTTGCAGTGAGCCTAGATCATGCCAGTTCACTCCAGCCTGGGCAACAGAGAGAGACTCTGTCTCAAAAAAACAAAACAAAACAGAATGACATCCCTAGTGAATGTCAGCTTGTGCCTGTAGCCATGATACTCAGAGTTCTATTCAAATACAGATTTCCATGAAATCTTGAGGAGGGGGAGGAGGGGTGACATGGAAAGGTATACACAACATAATCACTAATTGAGGTAAAATATCCTGCTAGTATACTACTGGCAACACCTTTGATGGTTTGTCTTAGAACACATGGGAACAACTGCCCTGGCAGGGTTATGGAGACCTAACAACAAATTCTGCTGTGAGTCTAGTGTCCGAAGAATCTCACGGTAGAGCTCCAGGAAAGGCAGGTCAAGTTAATGCTCGTGATCTTATGTATTTGCTCACTTATTTATCTCCTCCTCTTTCCACAATGGATACAGTACAAACAAAGGGAAATAGAGTCAGGACAAAGAGAAAGACAGGATAGAAAATAGGCAAGATAGGTAAGCATAGCCCAGACCAAACCTAGTGAATCAGAAACTCTGGGAGAGTGGGGCCTGGCAGTTTGCAGCTTAACACACCTTCTAGGTGATTCTGATGGACCCTAAAGTTTGAGAACCACTGGATTCGAGTCTAAAGAACATTCAGGGCCAGTGTGGTGGCTCATGCCTATAATCCCAACACTTTGGGAGGCCGACGCAGGTGGATCACCCGAGGTCAGGAGTTCGAGACCAGCCTGACCAACATGGGGAAACCCCGTCTCTACTAAAAATAAAAAAAAAAATAGCCAGGCATGGAGTCAGGGGCCTGTAATCCCAGCTACTCAGGAGGCTGAGGCAGGAGAATTGCTTGTACCCAGGATGCGGAAATTGCACTGAGCCGAGATTGGACCATGGCACTCCAGCCTGGGCAACAAGAGCGAAACTCCATCTCGAAAGCAAAACAAAACAAAAAAACACAACACTCAAGAAGTCTGGGGCAGGAATTCAGGTAGGAAGCTGCTGCAATACTGCAGGAAATGTGATGGTGAAGCTTAATTCATTCAGCAAATCATTCACTGACCATCTACTGTGTATCAGACACTATTTTAGACACTAAAGATACAGTAGTGAGCAAAGTAGACAAAAAATGTGGCCCATCCTGGTGGCTCCTGCCTGTAATCTCAGCACTTTGGGAGGCCAAGGCAGGTGGATCACTTGAGGCCAGGAGTTAAAGACCAACATGACAAAACCCCAGCTCTACTAAAGATGCAAAAAGAATTAGCCGGGTGTGGTGGTACACCTACAATAACAACTACTTGGGAGCTGAGGCACAAGAATCACTTGAACCTGGAGGCAGAGATTGCAGTGAGCCAAGATGGCACCACTGCACTCCAGTCTAGACGACAAAAGAGACCCTGTCTCAAAAAAATAAAACTAAAAAAGCAGACAAAAATCCCTGTGGACGTGGGAGTGTACCTTCTAATGCAAGTAATTACTGTCTACCATTTATGTAGTTCCAGATGTTATCAGTGTTTTATACTCATTATTTCATCCTCACATCCTACCTGCCCATCAGATAGGTACACTTTCTGTCCTCATTTGCCAGTTGAGGATACGGAGGTTAAGTAGCTTGTCCAGGGTCATGTTGATAGTAAGTAGAGCTCAGATTTAAATCCAAGAAGGCCACCACACTTTTAGACACTGTGCTCTCTGACAACACACTGCTAGCCACCGTGCCATGCTGCCTCCACAGCATCGGAAGGGCAGTGATGAAATATACTGATTCAAAATATATCCCTTTAGCACCTACTGTGTGCTAGGCAGTGTTAGGCCAGTGTGGCTGCAGCAGAATGATCCGGGGCTACAGAGGAAGGAGGGAGGGTGTTGTGAGCAAATCTTACAGGGCTTTGCTCACCATGTATAGCCTCTGGTTTTCACTCTCCATAAGATGGGAAGCCATTGCAGGGTTGTGAGCAGAGGACTGACATAATTTGACTTAGGTTTTTTTGTTTTGTTTTCTTTGAGACGGAGTCTCCCTCTATGCCCAGGCTGGAGTGCAGTGACGCAATCTCGGCTCACTGCCACCTCCACCTCCACCTCCACCTCCTGGGTTCAAGCGATTCTCCTGCCTCAGCCTCCCGAGTAGCTGGGACTACAGGTGCACGCCACCACTCCCAGCTAGTTCTTTTGTATTTTTAGTAGAGAAAGGGTTTCACCATATTGGCCAGGCTGGTCTCGAACTCCTGACCTCGTGATCTGCCCACCTCAGCCTCCCAAAGTGCTGGGATTACAGGTGTGAGCCACCGCGCCCGGCCTTGACTTAGGTTTTAAACAGATTGCATTGACTGTTGTGTTGACAACAGACTACAGAGGGGGCATAGAGAGCTGTTGGGAACGGTTGTAATTACCAGAAAAAAGAAAAATTATGATGGCTTGAGTAGAAGCTATAAAGTCAGCAGGTTGCATTGATGGATATGGAAAGAGAGGGCTCTAGGCCACATCTACTAAAAGACATGAAGAAGGAGCAGGGTTTTTGTTTTTGTTTTGGCAGGGAGGTGTTTGGGGAGGTTGTTTTGTACAATCAAGTGGATGTTGAATATACATTGATATACAAATCTAAAGTTCAGAGAAAGACCGGGCTGAAGAGAGAAATTTGGGAGTTGTAAGTAAATAGTTTTTTGTTTTTAGTTTTACTAAGTATTGCCTTTGTTTTAGTATGACTCGTTTATTTAGAAGTTTATATAATTTAATTTGTGATATGTCTTGTGTTTTTGTTTTGTTTGGGGCAGGTGCCCGAGGCCCTTGTCATCTTCATTGACTCCAGCTCATGGCTTGTATTTAACAACGAGCTCAGAAAAATTCCTAAAAATTTAATTACTGAGTCTCCAGAGCTCTAATGAGCTGGCTCCAGCACACAATTGCTCCTTTCTTTCATTCAACAATTTGACAAGTCCTGATGGCTCTACATTCAAAACATGTAAATTGGCCGGGCGCGGTGGCTCACGCCTGTAATCCCAGCTCTTTGGGAGGCCGAGGCGGGTGGATGACGAGGTCAGGAGATCGAGATCATCCTGGCTAACACGGTGAAACCCCGTCTCTACTAAAAATACAAAAAATTAGCCAGGCGTGGTGGTGGGTGCCTGTAGTCCCAGCTACTCGGGAGGCTGAGGCAGGAGAATGGCGTGAACCCGGGAGGCGGAGCTTGCAGTGAGCCGAGATAGCACCACTGCACTCCAGCCTGGGCGACGGAGCGAGACTCCGTCTAAAAAAAAACAAAAACAAAAAAACAAAAAACCGTATATCTTGAATCTGATCACTTTTCGCTTAGATAGTACTGTAATATAGTAATAGATAATGCTAGAAAAAATAATTAAAGCTATAGATATCATCTATTGTAGGTTTACTGATTGTCAGGCACTATGGCGACTCTCTGGAATGGTTCATTCCTCGCAAATGAATAGATAGGAGATATCTACTATCAGGAACTACAAACACAGTCTCCGTGCTGTGATCCGCTTTCACAGGGAATTTTGTCTGGGATTCAAGTAGCGGCAAGTAACCCTTTTTCGCCCTCCATCTCTGCTCAGGGGTGAGCCCTGGCAGCGCTCCTACCTGGGACCTACATTGGCTTAGTAAGATGGGCCGGCGCCCACCCCAGCCCTCGCGCATGCGCATAAAAGCCCACTCCCGGGGGCGGGGCCTGAGCTAGCTGGGCGGGGCCTGAAGGAGCCGGGAGCTCCTGCAGCTTCATCGCGTTACTAAGAGACGCGAGGGTCGCGAAGGGCACAACACTTGGCCTCTCGCTGGCCCTGCTCGCGGATCCCGAGTAGAGAACGCAAGCACCCACGCCCGCCTGCAAGCTCCCGGGCGCCCCCGGCCTCTCCTGCTCGGCGGAACGAGGATAACCCAGTAGAGCCGGACCCAGGGGTGGGTGGATGCGTCGCTGGAGGCGAGGGCCCTGCCCGCCAACCCCTGCGCCCCGGCCGTAGCCCCACCCCGGAAGTTCTTGCCCCGCCTTCTCGGCTCCGCAGTTCTCTGCTGTCTCCTGAGGTTTGCCAGGGAGATCCCGTGGTTTTCATGTCTCTTCCGTGATTTTTAGGGAAGAGGGTCACTATTTGGCCCTTCCAGAATCTCAGGGTCCGGTTCTCCCGGAAGTTTCCGGGCCGCCCCGGACCCCATTGGCTTTAGGGGCCGCGTCTCCGAGGGCTCCGATTTGGGCCCTAGATTTTGGAATACTGTGTTTTGTCCGTCCCAGCCTTCACCAGGCGGATTTCATCTCCCACACAGTTAGTGATTTATGGCAGAAAGGAAGCTGGAGGGATGGGGACTGCAGGTTAGCTGTGAGGGCCGGAAGGGAGCGGTTTTGTGCTGCACACAGGCAGGTCAGCACTCCCAGAGCAGGGACCGCCGGGCGTGCTTTCGGAACCGCTTTTGTCTTTCAAATGAACGCCCAGCGACAGCAGACGGGAGTTCCAGGACCTTAGAGACCGGCTAATGCTTCTCTTTAAGTTAGGAAACAGGCGCAGGCGTGTTCATGGCCTTGCCTAAGGTTACGTGCTGGTTACAGGGCTCCTCCTGCTGCCTCTTAAGAACAGAAATAATCTAATAGGAGGAATAAAAGGGACTATTAGGGAGGCTAATGCTCTTGAAGTTTTAATACTACTAAAAGTAAAAGCGCTTTTCAGAGTGAAAGGGAAGTGAAAAGGGAATTTGGGTGGCTGGCTACATCAGAAGCTTCTGTTCCAACTTTAGATTGTCAGGGAGTTGAGATGGTGTTTTTTGTTTTTATTTTTGTTTTAGTTTTTTGAGACGGAGTCTCGCTCTGTAGCCCAGGCTGGAGTGCAGTGGCGGGATCTCGGCTCACTGCAAGCTCCGCCTCCCGGGTTCACGCCATTCTCCTGCCTCAGCCTCCCGAGTAGCTGGGACCACAGGTGCCCGCCACGATGCCCGGCTAATTTTTTGTATTTTTAGTAGAGACGGGGTTTCACTTTGTTGGCCAGGATGGTCTCGATCTCCTGACCTCGTGATCCACCCGCCTCGGTCTCCCAAAGTGCTGGGATTATAGGAGTGAGCCACCGCGCCGAGATGGTGTGTTTTTAAAATAACGTGCCCGAGGCCGGGCGTGGTGGCTCACCCCTGTAATCCCAGCACTTTGGGAGGCTGAGGCAGGCGGATCACCTGAGGTCGGGAATTCGAGACCAGCCTGACCAACATGGGAAAACCTCGTCTCTACTAAAAATACAAAAAAATTAACCAGGCATGGTGGCGCATGCCTGTAATTCCAGCTACTCGGGAGGCTGAGGCAGGAGAATCGCTTTAACCTGGGAGGCGGAGGTTGTGGTGAGACAAGATCACGCCATGGCGCTCCAGCCTGAGCAACAAGAGTGAAACTCCATCTCAAAAAAATAATAAATAAATAAATAAAATAACATGCTCCTCAATTTAACTATGGGATTATGTCCCAATACACCCATGGTAGGTCGAAAATGCATTTAATGCACCTAGCCAACTTTAAACGTCCTCAGAACACTTAGCTCCCCTGCAGTTGGGCAACATCATCTAACACAAAGCCTATTTTATAATAAAGTGTTGACTATGTCATGTAACTTACTGAATACTGAATTCAAAGTGGAAAACAGAATGGTTGCGTGGGTACTCGAATTACTGAATGCGTATTGCTTTTGCACCATGGTAAAGTGGAGATATGAGTTGAACCATTCCACGGGACCATCTGTATGCATATAAACCCTAAGTATTTCATATAATTCAGTTTCACAAACCAGAAACTCAGGCATTGCTGTTTCCTGTTTGTGGAGCTACAACTTGGTATTTTAGATGTCAAATTTATTTATTTTTTTGAGATGGTGTCTTGCTCTGTCACCCAGGCTGGAGTGCAGTGGTGCGATCTTGGCTCACCGCAACCTCCGTCTCCTGGGTTCAAGTGATTCTCCTGCCTCAGCCTCCCGAAGTAGCTGGGACTACAGGCAGCCGCCACCGCATCCGGCTAATTTTTTTTTTTTTTTTTTTTTAGTAGAGACAGGTTTTCACCAGGTTGGCTAGGCTGGTCTCGAACCCTTGACCTCAGGTGATCCACCTGCCTCGGCCTCCCAAAGTGCTGGGATTACAGGCGTGAGCCACCGCACATGGCCAAAACGTTTATTTTTATTTATTTATTTTTTTAACATTTTTTTCTTGAGGCAGGGTCTCATTCTTGTCTCCCAGGCTGGAATGCAGTGACTTGATCACAGCTCACTGTGGCCTCAACCTTGGGGGATCAAACAATCCTCCCACCTTAGCCTCCCCAGTAGCTGAGACTACAGTCATGGGCCACCACACCCAGCTAATTTTATTTTTTGTAGAGATAGGGTCTCACTACGTTGCCCAGGCTGGTCTTGAACTCGGACTCAAAGGATCCTCCCTCCTCAGTCTCAGAAAGAGCTGGGATTACAGGTGTGAGCCGCTGCATCCAGCCATTAAATGTATTTTTTATCAATTCTTTTTTTGGCACAACTGCCAGCAAAGAAACCACTCAGTCTGCAAGAGCTAAGTACTAGCAGAATTAGAACTGCCACTGAATTTCCTAGAATCACTGAAAAATTTAATCAAGGAATTGTAAGTTGATCTTTCCTAATTTTAGTTTCATTTTGTGTTTTTAATAAACTGAAAGTAAGGGCAAAAAAAAAGAATTTCCACCACCACTTATATAGCGTAGTTACAGTAGTCACTAGAGTTCCTACTATGGTGAAATTTACATTCATATTCTCTTTAGGTATTTTGGGAAAATAAAATTTTGAAATGCTTAATAATAACCGGAGGATGTCTATTTCTACTGAGAAAAGTGGTGATTTCCCCCAAAGTCCAATTGAATACAGCATATTTTCTGCTCTTCTATTAAATGTAGCATTTTTATGTATAGTTGCCATAATTTTTTGAGCTGAAAGTGACAAAAGGTTACATAGATGGCATTCAAGAAAATACGTTTCGAATGAATATGAGCAAAAAGTCAAGCCTAAAGCAAAAAGGGCATAGATAAGACAAAAATTAAGATTGTATCACTACATGTGCTTCATCTGTAAAAGTCCTGTAAGTAATACAGTCACTAAATTCATATAAAAATATGACTAATTTGGAATTTTTTTTTTTTTTCTTTTTTTCAGACAGTCTCGCTCTGTCACCCAGGCTGGAGTGCAGTGGCACCATCTCGGCTCACTGCAACCTCCATCTCCCAGGTTCAAGCAGTTCTCTGCCTCAGCCTCCTGATTAGCTGGAATTACAGGCATGCGCCACCATGCCTGGCTAATTTTTATATTTTTAGTAGACACGGGGTTTCACCATCTTGGCCAGGCTGGTCTTGAACTCCTGACCTCGTGATCCACCCACTTCAGTCTCCCAGAGTGCTGGGATTACAGGCGTGAGCCACCGTCCTGTCCTGAAAGTATTTTAATACAGTGAATTCACTAACTTTTTTTTTTCTCTCTTAATTTAGACAGAGTTTTGCTCTTGTTGCCCAGGCTGGAGTGCAATGGCACGATCTTGGCTCACTGCAACCTCTGCCCCCCAGGTTCAAGCAATTCTCCTACCTCAGCCTCCTGATTAGCTGGGATTACAGGCATGCGCCACCACGCCCGGCTAATTTTGTATTTTTAGTAGCGACGGGTTTCTCCATGTTGGTCAGGCTAGTCTCGAACTCCCGACCTCAGGTGATCCACCCACCTCGGCCTCCCAAAGTGCTGGGATTACAGGCGTGAGCCACCACGCCCAGCCTAACTTTTTTCTTTAATATTTCTTAGAACCTTTTTCCTGTGTAATATATCTATATTCCTGTGTAATGTTTCATATTATATATATGAATGGATTCTTAGGCTGTATCACATGTCCAACTCACCTCTTTGTCATAGCTGGTATATTGCTATTATATTGTGCAGCAGTGGAGTAGTGAACTTCCCACTAGAATGAATGGCATTAAAGGACAAAGGTTTCACTGAAGCGTGGCTTATTTGTTTTGCCAGGTGTTCCAAATTTTACATAAACTCGTATAATACTGTAAAACTGGACCGGGTGCGGTGGCTTACACCTGTAATCACAGCACTTTGGGAGGCCGAGGTACACGATCACTTGAGGCCAGGAGTTCAAGACCAGCCTGAGAAACATGGTGAAACCCATCTCTACTAAAAATATAAAAATTTGGCAAGGCGTGGTGGCTCACGCCTGTAATCCCAGCCTTTTGGGGGGCTGAGGCAGGCGGATCATGAGTTCAGGAGATCCAGAACATCCTGGCTAACACAGTGAAACCCCGTCTCTACTAAAAATACAAAAAATTAGCTGGGCATGGTAGTGGGCGCCTGTAGTCCCAGCTACTCAGGAGGCTGAGGCAGGAGAATAGCATGAACCTGGGAAGTGGAGCTTGCAGTGAGCCGAGATCGCGCCTCTGCACTCCAGCCTGGTGACAGAGCGAGACTCCGTCTCAAAAAAAAAAAAAAAAAAAGAATACAATATAAACACTATAATATTTAGAATGTTAAGTAATTTAACAAAAATCTAAATAGGAAGAGCATTAGAACATCTTTCTTGTTTTTCATAGAAAAGAGTCCATTGGTACTTGTGACTTAGCCTCCTAACAGTCTTCATTATCTTTTTTTACCAACCACTAAGGGAACATTTAGGCTACATCTTTCATATTGAAGAAATATTTGTCTGAAATTCAGCAAGTCTGTCTATTTTATTTCCATTTCCTATTTTTCCTCTATTAAATCCAAGTGAAGCTAAATTTATGTCTTGTAAAAGCATTTATTAGAAGATCCTTTTAAATAAAACTTTTAAGTCTATGTTAATTAATCGTATATTTAGCATGATTTTTACCCAGTATGAAGGATGGATATTTCTAATTAATGTCATGCTTATTTTGAGTTTTCCTTTATATATATGTATATAAGAGTGTGTGTGTGTGTGTGTGTGTATATATATATATATATATATATACACACACACACACATATATATGTATACTTTTTTTTTTTTTTTTTTTTTTGGAGCCAGAGTCTTGCTCTGTCACCCAGGCTGGAGTGCAACCTCCACCTCCTGGGTTTCAAGCGATTCTCAAGCCTCAGCCTCCCAAGTAGCTGTGATTGCAGGCACCTGCTACCACGCCCAGTTCATTTTTTTTTTTTCCTTTTTGAGAAGGAGTTTCGCTCATGTTGCCCAGGCTAAAGTGCAATGGTGTGATCTCAGCTCACTGCAACCTCCACCTCCCAGGTTCAAGTGATTGTCATGCCTCAGCCTCCCAAGTAGTTGGGATTACAGGCATGTGCCACCATGCCTGGCTAATTTTGTATTTTTAATAGAGACGGGGTTTCACCATGTTGGCCAGGCTGGTCTTGAACTCCTGACCTCAGGTCTCCTGACTTCAGTCTCCCCAACTGCTGGGATTACAGGCTCGAGCCACCATGTCCAGCCTTTCCCTGTTATACCTTTAATGTATTTCTTGACCTTTTAAACATAATGAGCATTTGTTATTGTGATTGAAAAAAATTCATAAAATATTAATTTATTTACAGGATCTGACTTTAATGTGTTTCAGCCAATAGAAATATATTTTAATAGAAGAATGCATTCAAGGAATCATAGTGAAAATTCTGTACACTTTATTTCAGTTAAATGACTGATATATTTTGTTAATAAAATAAGTAGCTGAGAAAACAAGTGTAAGATTATGCCTTTGAAAAACTTGCTATGGAAGTTCGGTGAATAGACAATTACATGAACTAAAGTCGTATATTAGACTTTCCAAGACTATTAGTGACCTCCTACACTGTTTTTAAATCCATGGTCTCAGTACCACGACAGCCACACAGTGTGCATGGAATCTGTGTTAGGCCATTTTCTCACATTAGTTCATCAAAAGATCAGGTACTACAGTGACCTCAGTAAATGAATTGCAGCAATTGGGATGTCTCCAAGCAATTAAGAAGTGAAAAAGAATAAACCATCCCCTCCCAGAAACAAGAAAGCGAACAGAGTGAGAAGACGGGTCTTACATTCCCTTTTTGAGAGAGAGAGAGAGAGAGAGAGAGAGAGAGAGAGAGAGAGGTGCAGCTTTGAATATAAGTAATGGAATGGTGGTGGATATTTTGACAATCTACTGAGCATGTTTTCAGAAATGTGCAAACTATTACCTGGAACTCCAGTATTTGCATACAGCTTTTAGAACATCACTCCGTAACTCCAACTCTGACTGGGATTTTATTGATAAAGAAAAAAACAGTTTTGTATGTATCTTTCAGGGACTTGGGGTTTTTTTTGTTTGTTTCTTACAGTTTTATCCCCACAAAATAGAGCATGAATCCTTCTCAATCTTGGAATTGTATGTTTAAAAACTACTATATTTAATGGGATTCTCAACTCTAAGTATAATTTTTAAGTGTTAGTTTTATTTATTCTTTTTTTTTTTTTTTGAGATGGAGTCTTGCTCTGTCACCCAGCTTGGAGTGCGGTGGCACAATCTCAGCTCACTGCAACCTCCACCTCCTGGGTTCAAGCCATTCTCCTGGCTCAGCTGCCCCAGTAGCTGGGATGACAGGCGTGCACCACCATGCCTAGCTAATTTTTGTATTTTTAGCAGAGACGGTGTTTCACCATGTTGGCCAGGCTGGTCTCAAACTCCTGACCTCATGATCCACCTGCCTCAGCCTCCCAAAGTGCTGGGATTACAGGTGTGAGCCACCGCACCCGGCCAGTTTTGTTTATTCTTAAAGGGAATTTCAAAATTGTCACTATTACATTATCCATTAATGTTGTTTTAACATCTTTCAGATATTATTGATAATAAGGCCTCTGTAACCATGGCTAGTTCTGACGTAAAACCAAAATCAGTAAGTCATGCCAAAAAATGGTCAGAAGAGATAGAAAATCTGTACAGATTTCAACAAGCAGGATATCGGGATGAAACCGAATATAGACAAGTGAAACAAGTTTCTATGGTAAGATTTCTGTCTCTACAAACCTCAACTCGAAATGTATTTCTCAGATGCTGAAAAGTATTTTATAAACAACCAGAGAATAACTGAAGGAAATTCGACTCCAACTCTCTCATTTTATTTGTTTTCTTTTATTTACTTTTATTTTATTTTTTGAGACAGAGTCTCATTCTGTCACCCAGGCTGGAGTGCAGTGACGCAATCTCGGCACACTCCACCTCCCGGATTCAAGGGATTCTCTTGCCTCAGCCTCGTGAGTAGCTGGGATCACAGGCGTGCACCACCACGCCTGGCTAATTTTTGTATTTTTGTAGAGACGGGATTTTGCCGTGTTTGGCCAGGCTGGTCTTGAACTCCTGACCTCAAGTGATCCACGCGCCTAAGCCTTCCAGAGTGCTAGGATTACAGGCAATAGCCAGGACGCCCAGCCAGACTCTCTCATCTTATTAACGGGGAGAGGCCCAGAAGAATGATTTGCAGGCAGAGTGGGAGAAGAGGTGGTCGTTTAGCTGGGCACATTCAGAATTTTCTCTTTTATTGAGCAACTGTGCTCTGCTAAATGAATCTTTTGCGGTAGACCACAAAAAAAAAGCTTTTTTCCTCACTCAGGTGATTTCATTATCAGATAATCAGTATGTTGGGTAACTATTATTTCCCTCCTGTTACTTTTTATTTTAACCATGAATTAGAAAGAGGTTAAAATCCTGTGGTTTTTGGGGCAATTATACCTTACAAACAAAAGTGTTAGAACAACTCGTGACTTTGATAGTATATCCCAGGCTTTCCTGAGAGGGTAGAGACCTAGCTTTGCTTTATGAAGGCTAGACCAAAGTCTAGATTTGGCTCCCGTTTATACAGTGTGGTTCTTCTTAACTTATTTATTCTCTTGGCTACTAAGATATTTTTTTTTTTTTTTTTTGAGACAGAGTCTCACTCTGTCACCCAGGCTGGAGTGCACTGGCGCAATCTCGGCTCAGTGCAACCTCCACCTCCCGGGTTCAAGTGATTCTTAAGAGACGTGTTTTTACAAATTCAGTTCACCCCTGAACAACACAGGGACTAGGGGCTTCAATGCTTCATGCCGTCAAAAATTTGTGTATAACTTTTGACTCCCCAAAACAACTACTAGTAACCTAGTGTTAACAGAAACTCTTGCCCATAAGGTGAATAATTGATCAACCCAGGAATACACTAATATCTTGATATATTTTATGCATTCATGACAAACCTTTTCTTAATTATTTTTGATATTTATAGTCTGTGTGGTTTGCAACTTTTTTCAAATCGTTGCAAATCTCAAAAAAAATTTCAACAAATTTTTTGAAAACAATCCATGTATATATGGACTCCCCAAGTTCAAACTTGCATTGGTCAAGGGTCAACTGTATTGTAAAATATGACATAGTATTCATAAATATATTTTAATTTTTAGATTTGGGATTATAACAGTGTTTATTAACTCAGTTGTTTATTTTTATTTTTTACTAACTCATCATTTTTCAGATTCTAATGTGTAGATTTTGCAGATCACTATAAGCTCTTCTTTTTCTTTTATTCTATTCTTTGACCTCTACTTAAAAATTCCTTTAAAAGTACATAGGAGGCTGGGAGTGGTGGCTCACGCCTGCAATCCCAGCCCTTTGGGAGGCCGAGGTAGGCAGATCACTTGAGGTAATGAGTTTGAGACCAGCCTAGCCAACATGGTGAAACCCTGTCTCTACTAAAAATACAAAAATTAGCCGGGCATGGTGGCATGCACCTGTAGTCCCAACTACTTGGGAGGCTGAGGCAGGAGAATCACTTGAGCCCAGGAGGCAGAGGTTGCAGTTAGCTGAGATCACACCATTACACTACAGCCTGGGCAACAAAGCGAAACCCCATCTCAAATAAATAAATTAATTAATTAAATTAAAATTTTAAAAGTACATAGGAAAAATAATGGAGGCAATACGGAACTATCATGTTATTACCTCTTTAATAGACATTAATTTAATGACATTATTGTGGTTAACAATAGAATTTAAAATACTGATCAAGTGAAGATTGATTACTGTGACTTCCATGTATCTGTCTTCTCAACCATTATACTCTATCCCCATTGCCAAGGATAATTTTCATTACTATATCATCTATGGCTTTTAAACAGAAAAAACAGAAGCATTATCATTTTTATGCTGTTTAAAATAAGCTTTGGGCTGGGCGTGTTGGCTCACACCTGTAATCCCAGCAGTTTGGGAGGCCGAGGCAGGTGGATCATCTGAGGTTGGGAGTTTGAGACCAGCCTGACCAATATGGAGAAACCCTATCTCTGCTAAAAATACAAAACTTGCCAGGCATGGTGGCACATGCCTGTAATCCTAGCTATTCGGGAGGCCGAGGCAGGAGAATCACTTGAAACCAGGAGGTGGAGGTTGTAGTGAGCCGAGATCACGCCATTGCACTCCAGCCTGGGCAACAAGAGTGAAACTCCATCTCAAATAAATAAATAAATAAAATAAGTTTCATACCCTGCCTTAAGATTGGGATGCCCCTAAAGATACACAAGCCTCAGACTCATAGGCGGCCAGCTGTGGTGGCTTACGCCTCTAAGCCCAGTGCTTTGGGAGGCTGAGGGTGAAGGATTGCTTGAGGCCAGGATTTTGAGACCAGTCTGGGTGACATAGTGAGAACCCATTTCTACAAAAAACTTTTTTTAATTAGCCAGGCATGGTGGAGTGTCTCTGTAGTCCCAGCTACTGGGAGGCTCAGGTGGGAGGATTGCTTGAGTGCAGGAGATCGAGGCTGCAGTGACCTGTGATCACATCACTGCACACCAGCCTGGGTGAGAGAGCAAGACCCTGTCTCAAAAAAAAAAAAAGAAAAAAGGAAAAAAGAAAAGAAAGTTGTCACAAGAATTAAATGTAATCACATGTTTGAAGTGCCTGACATTATAGTGCTCATAATTTGTTGGGCTGGGCACAGTGGCTCACGCCTGTAATCCTAGCACTTTGGGAGGCAGAGGCGGGCCGTTCACCTGCAGTCAGGAGTTAGAGACCAGCCTGGCCAACATGGTGAAACCCTGTCTCTACTAAAAATACACAAAATTAGCCGGGCATGGTGGTGCACACATGTAATCCCAGCTACTAGGGAGGCTGAGGCAGGAGAATCACTTGAACCCGGGAGGGGGAGGTTACAGTAAGCTGAGATCATGCCACTGCACTCCAGCCTGGGCGACAGAGCGAGACTCCCCCACAAAAAATTTGTTGACTGAAGGAACAGCAAGTGTTTAGTAAATGATACCTTTTATTAATCTCATCATCTTAGATTCTAAAATAAGTAACAAGAACAATAAAACCTTACACAAATCGAAGTATATGTTCCTTAACAAAAAGAAGCACAGGGATTTAGAGGAAAACAAAATCACTTCCTTCCAGGGACAATCCCCAGAGAGGGCTTAGTGTCCCCAGTGGCATTTGCAGTGGGTCTTCAGGGACGGATAGGATGGTGACTGAAGGCTTGCTTTGGGTGGGATGTTTCTCCCAGTGTGCAGTGGTTTGAGGTTTGAGAGAAGCTGTTTTTCATTACCTGGTGGTATAGTGCTTGCTGACCTTCCCTCCTGAGGGGAAAGTCCTTGAACTTGAGGATCTCATTCCATTCCACCACAGGCAAGAAAGTTTCCCAGATCAAATGGAAATGATCAAGTTGAAAGTCAAGAAGAAAAGAAAGTTCAGAGATGCCAAGGGACATCAAAAGGAAAAATGTCTAGAAGTCAACAAGCAAAGGAGCAACTTAGCTGTCCTAAGGATTGTCCCATATCAAGTAGCTCAGCTCCAGATGTTCGGAAGAGGCATTGGTTGTACTGTTTTCTCACCGGATCAGATGGCTTTCAGATAATCTGCTCCTGGCCCCAGGAGGGAAGAGGGCTGTAATGGAGTCTTGAGAACACCTCCTTTCCCTGCCAAAGGTATTGGAAGCCACACAGGCAGGTGTGGCCTCAGTGGTGGAAAGGACTGCTGGTTTTCTGTAATGTATGTCAGAAGGCCTGCCAAGGCTTCTCAGATATGCTGTTACCTATTCTCGCTAATTCATAAGTAAATGAGATGACACAAAAAATGAAGATGTGTTATTAGAAAGTAAAAGACATGTGGACACAGATGGTATATTCATCTCCTCTTCCTACTGAAAGCTGAGATTTATTCATGGGGAACAGAAAAGGTGCAGGACTACCTGTATAGAAGGTGTTGAAGAACAGGATTTGGAGAAAGGGTGCAGGACTGCCTGTATAGATGGTGTTGAAGAGCAGGATTTGGTTTTCTACAACCTAGATAATGAGTTTTTGGTTATGATAAAGTGCATCTCACAAAATCTGAAAGGAACATATTTGACAGTGGTGAAATACATTAACCTGGCCAGGAAGGGATAACATTGAAGAGGAAGTGGAGAGACAGATCTCCAAATTAGATCAAGCCAAATGAAAAAGTAGATAAACCAATATGGTATACAAGAAGGAATGGTAGGAGATGACTGGGGACAGTGGCTCACACCTGCAATCCCAACACTTTGGAAAGCCAAGACAGGAGGATCATTTGAGACCAGGAGTTTGAGACCAACCTCGGCAACATATAATAATAATGATAATAATAATAATAATAATAACAACAATAAAGAATGGTAGAAGAAATTAAAAAAAAGATTTTTGACACTTTGGGAAGCCAAGGTAGGAGGACTGCTTTAGGCCAGGAGTTTGAGACCAGCCTGGGCAACATAGTGAGACCCTGTCTCTACAAAAAAAAAAAAGAAAAATAGAAAACTTATCTGGGCATGGTGGTGCTTACCTGTAGTTCTAACTACTCGGGAGGCAGAGGCTGGAGGATCCCCTGAGCCCAGGAGGTTGAGGCTGTAGTGAGCTATGATCACAACACCGCACTACAGCCTCGGAGACAGAGTGAGACCCTGTTTCAAAAAAAAAAATGGATTTCAAGGTGAACTTGAAATTGGGGCAGAAGGAAATGCATATACACTTTTGGATAGTTCTTGAGTTGCTTGCTTTATTCACTGTGTATTCATCAACAATCAGCAGGCAGCACTTACAAAATGGAGCCTGGGCTTAGCCCTAATTTCCTCCTGTGGTATTAATTTTAGAAGTTAGAATGTTTAAAATCTTTTGTAAACATAAGAGAAATGAAGTTTAGATTACTTGGAATGTTTTGTCTTATCTTGGCCACAGTATTGAAATTTAAATCTAGAAATTGGAGCTGGGTGCAGTGGCTCAGGCCTGTAATTCCAGCACTTGGGAGGCCGAGCTGGGAGGATCACTTGACTACAGCAGTTCCAGGACAGCTTGGGCAATGTAGCAAGACTCTGTCTCCAAAATAAAACAAAATAAAATAAACCTAGAAATTGGGCTCTAGAGAAAAGCACTGAATTAGTTGTCTTTTTTTTTTTTTTCCGAGGCAGGGTCTTGTTCTGTCACCCAGGCTGGAGTGCAGTGGCGCCATCTAGAGTCACTGCAACCCCTGCCTCCAGAGTTCAATGGATTCTTCTGCCTCAGCCCCCTGAGTACCTGGGATTATAGGCACCTACCACCACACCCAGCTAATTTTTGTATTTTTAGTAGAGGCATTGTTTCACCATGTTGGCCAGGTTGGTCTTGAACTCCTGACCTCAATTGATCCACCTGCCTCAGCCTCCCAGAGTGCTGGGATTACAGGCATGAGCTACTGCACTCGGCCTGAATTAGTTATCTTACAGCATAAGGCTGCAATGTAAGATGTGTCTTGTGGGTATCATACTTTAAAAGCTCAAGCATTCTAAAATCTAATCTTATACTTTGTTTCTGTAAGTCATACTTTTTAACTATTTGATAGTAAAATATGAGATAAAAATCAACCCTCCATTGTAACGTTTGTACTCTGGTTCTTGATGTGCAGGTAGATCGTTGGCCGGAGACAGGATATGTGAAGAAACTTCAGAGAAGGGACAATACGTTCTATTACTACAACAAACAGAGGGAATGTGATGACAAAGAAGTCCACAAAGTGAAAATTTATGCTTACTAGCCTGTCTTCTTTGTATTACTTGTCAATTATATTTTAAGTATTCATCATTTCCTTCTACATCATGTGTTTGTCATTTGATGAAATAATTCAAGATGCAGTCTGCAGTTTAATGTTTTGTGAAACACAAAAGCCATGAGAATTGGTATCTGCTAATCACCTTGTCCTGTTCTAAGAACTGGCTGCAGATGCATTAAAGTTGTACTTTCTTGGTCCTGCTCTTTTTGTCCATTTTATTTTATTTTGAGACAGAGTCTCGCTCTGTCGCCCAGGCTGGAGTGCAGTGGTGCAATCTCGATTCACTGCAACCTCTGCCTCCCGGGTTCAAGTGATTCTCATGCCTCAGCCTCCCAAGTAGCTAGAATTACAGGTGTGCACTACCATACCCATCTAATTTTTATATATTTAATAGAGATATGATTTCATCACGTTGGCCAGGGTGGTCTCAAACTCCTGACCTCAAGTGATCTGCCCGCCTCAGCCTCCCAAAGTGCTGGCATTTCAGGTGTGAGCCACCACACCTGGCCTCTGTCCATAATAACTGTGGTGTGATCACCATTAAGTATGGGAAAACACCTTTGAAATCATCCCAATGGTTAGACTAGTGACATATTTTCTTATAGCAGATAGTCTTAGTGCTCCACCTATACCCATTCCTGGCATTTATGTCTTTACTAGAACATTGCTTTGAGATGCCAGATATGGGTCTTGTGGCCCAAGGTCTTTCTCTTGCCCCTGGAGTCCTTTGCCTCTTGCTGGGCAAACTGGAAGTGTCAAGGAATAATGCCCCCCATGGAAGAAGTCCTCCACTAGTGACTGCTGGGAAGTAGTGATAGAAATCTCCCAGCAGGCTGGGCACAGTGACCCACACCTAAAATCCTAGCACTTTGGGAGGCCGAGGAGGGTGAATCATGAGGTCAGGAAATCAAGACCATCCTGGCTAGCAGGGTGAAACCCTGTCTCTACTAAAAAATACAAAAAATTAGCTGGGAGTGGTGGCGGCTGCCTGTAGTCCCAGCTGCTCAGAAGGCTGAGGCAGGAGAATGGTGTGAACCCAGGAGGCAGAGCTTGCAGTGAGCCAAGATCCCGCCACTGCACTCCAGCCTGGGCGACAGAGGGAGACTCCATCTCAAAAAAAAAAAAAAAAAGAAAACTATAAAGATCTTTGCCTACTTACTAATGATGAAAAGTATGGTCATAGAATATGGTAATGTACAGTTGCATGACCTTGAGCTAACAACTTAGGATTGCAGCCTCAGGATTTACATTTGTAAAGTGAAGAGCCAGCGCTTTGACGGACTAAGGCCATGGGAATCACGTGCTTATTTCAGGGCTATCGGGATCAAAGGGAGTATACATATGATAGGCCTTACACAGTCTCTCGTATAATTGTGCTGGACTTTCTTCTTTTTCCCTGAATAACCTCAGAGACCTTGTTAACGTTTGTGGCCTTCTGAGCTCCCCTCTTTAATCCTTCCAAGAGAGCTTCCCTGTCTGGGTTTAGCCTTTGCATATCCTCTCTTTCATGTGGGTCCATCTGGGGGTTGGTTCCTGGTAACTGGGTCCTTCCATACTCTTGGGGGTTTTGACAATCAGCTGGTGCATATTCCTCTAGCCACTTAGTTGCTGCTTGGAGCCCTCTCCGCCTTTCATCTCTGTTAAAGAGGAACATGAGCAACCGGTGGCAATCAGCCCAGGTGGGGTTGTGGGTCTGGATAACAGTTTGGAGCAAATCAATTAGGGCTTGTGGCTTTTCGGTAGAGGGCGGTGTATTGTTTTCCCAGTTGAGAAGGTCGGCAGAGGTGAAGGCCTGGTACCCAAAAACACGCCTCTCCACTACGTGACCATCCTCCTCTATCCCAGTATACCGCTGCTCTCTCAGGGGCATTTGGATCCCCGTTTTGGGTCGTAAACCAGCTGTCGAGGGAGGGGTGGAATGGCACAATGTGACTTACCGCGATTAATGGTATCAATTATTAATTGAGACTAATAACTATCAATATTAATAACTGATCATATAATTCTTAAAATCAATAGCGATAATAATGATAATTCACATTAAAGAGTTATACTCACGATAACAATAAATGATTAATATTAATGATTAATGACACCTGATATTAATAACTGATATTGATCTTATTCATTAGAAAACAGTCATATTAGCTCTTAATAATTAATATTAATATTAATAATCTGAACACTTTATGAGCAATGATTTCTTAATATTAATATCAATATTGGTAATAGATATTCATGTTAATAATAAATGAGGATGAATTAATACTAATAGTACACCTAAAACCTCAGTGGGTGTACACCCACCTGTGATATTGTTCATAATGTCCAGGAAGGGAGAGAGCATGATATTACGTTCAATATCGCAGTAGCTGTACACCCACCCGGTGATATTGATCCGAATCTCATCTCCAGGGGATGGCGTATGACGTTACTCCCAATATAGCACTGGGTGCGCATCCACCCGGTGATGTTCCTCCTCATATTCACGGAAAAAGAGAATGCTATTACTCCCGGTATCACAGGAAATGTACACCCTTTCTGTGACATTGTTCCTAATATCCGGAGGGGGAGAGGGTGATATTACTCCCAATATCGCAGGCTGTGTACACCCACCCTCTGATATTGTTCCTAGTAGCCAGGAAGGGAGAGGACGATATGACTCCCCAGACAGCAGGAGGTGTACACCCATCCTGGGATATTCTTCCTAATATCCATGGAGAGGAGAGGCTGATATGACTCCCAATATGGCAGGGGGTCTACATCCAGTCTATGATATTGTTCTTAACATTCAAAGGTGGAGAGGTTAATATTACTCCCAATATCACAGAAAGTGTACAAACCCGTGTACTATTGTTGCTATTATCCAGAAGAGGAGAAGATGATAATACCCCCCATACCGCAGGAGGTGTACACCCACTCTGTGATATTTTTTGTAATGTGCAGGGCGGGGGAGGATAATATTCTTCTTAATAACGCAGGGTGTGTACAGCCCCCCTGTGATATGATCCTTAATATTCCAAGGGGGAGAGGATAACCCTACTCCCAATAGCACAGAAAGCGTACACCACCCCAGGGATATTGTTCCCATGATCCAGGAGAGAAGAGGATGATGTTACTTTCAATATCGCATGGGATGGACACGCCCCCAGTGATATTGGTCCTAATTTCAACATGGGAGAGGACGATACTACACCCAATGCCGCTGGGGGCAGAAACACTCCCGTGATATTGTTCTTAATATCCAGGGGGAAGAGGATGCTATTACTGCAAATAGTACAGAGGATGTGCACCCGTCTGTGACATAGTTGGTAATTTCCAGAGGCAGAGAAGATATTACTGACAATAACGTCAACACGCTGTGACCACCGTGGATCCTAATATCCAGGGGGGGACCGGGGGGTGATATTACTCCCCGCATCGCGGGGGGCGTCCGCCCCCTTGCGACGGGAATCGTAATACCCAGGTGGGGAGAGGGGGTTGATATTACTCCCCGATTTTTCCTAGGATCTTTTCTCTACTGCCATCCTGGGTTCACACCCTGGGACATTATTTTCCATATTCTAGCAAGATGCCACTAGTAAAGTCACCGGGGTATACACCCTGCTGCATTATTCATAATATTAATTACATATTATTCATCGGGGAATATTAATCCTGATGTCACAGGACCGTACACACTGTGAAGTTATTCCCAGTATCCTAGCGGGACATTAAGAATAATGTCACAATGTGTGTATACCTTGTGGTGTTATTCTTATTCTCCTATGGGGAGGTTACTTTTATTGTCACACGGGCTATGTTCGCTTTGATATTATTCATAATATCCTAGAGGGATGTCACCTCTTATGTCACAGGGTTTGTACACCTTGTCAAATCACTCGTATTATCCTCATAAGATGTCACTCCTCATATCACAGAGGGTGTACACTCTGTGATATTATCGTCCTATTCTAGGGAAATGTGACTTTTAATGTCACAGAGGGTGTACACCTTGTGAAATTATTCGTTATAATTTTGTGGGATGTTACCCCTAATGTCACACGGGGTGGACACACAGTGATGTTCCATGTAATATTCTATAGAAATGTTACTCGTAATTCACAGGTCCTGTACACCCTTTCATATTCTTCATAATATTCCAGGAAAACGTTACTGCTAATGTCACAGGGCGTGTAGACCCTGTCATGAAATTCCTAATATCCTAGCAGGAGTTCACTACTCATTTCACAATGCGTGTACACACTTTGATATTATTCGTACTGTCCTGAAGAGATGTTACTACTGATGTCCCAATGCAGGTACATTCTCTGACATTATTCGTTATATCCACGGGGGATGTTACTTCTAATGTCACACGGGGTGTACTCCCTGTGTTCTATTTCCTAATGTCCTAGCGCAATTTTACTTTTAATGACACAGGGGTGTACACATTGAGATATTATTCATGATATTGTAGAAAGATGTTACTCCTAATGTCACAGGCGTGTACAGCCTGTGATAGTATTCATAATTACCCAGGGGTCTATACTCCTATTGGCACAGAAGATAACACCCTGTGACACTATTCGTAATATTCTAGCGAGATGATACTCCCAATGTCACAGATGGTGTACACCCCATGTTATTATTCTTACTCTTCTAGGGTGATGTTAGTCTTAATGTCACAGGCCTGTTCCTTCTGTGATATTATTGAAAATATGCTAGCAGGATATTACTACTAATGCCAAATGCGTGTACACGTGATATTATTAGTAATATTCAGGGGGGATGTTACTCATAAAGTTACAGGGATGTACACCGTGTGATATTGTTCCCAATATTGTAGGGGGATGTCACTCCTATAATGTCACAGGGGGTGTACACCCTTCGATATTATTTGTAATCTTATAGAGAGATATTACTTTAAATATCCCAGTGGGTGTACACACATGGGGTACACCCACTGGGATATTATTTGTAATTTCTTCAAGAGATATAACTCCTAATATCACAGTGGGTGTACCCCATGTGGGTATACCCTGTGATATTATTTGTAATATCCATGGTAAACATTACTTCTAGTAACCCACAGAGGGTACACCCTGTGATATTTTTCATAATATCATAGGGAGATATTCCTGCTAATAACACAGTGGGTGTACACCATGTGTGTACACTCTGTGATATGATAGCTCATATCCTAGGGAGGTATTCCTTCTAATATCACCGTGAGTTTACACCCTGTGATATCATTCGTAATATCCTAGAAAGATGTTGCTGCTAATATCACAGAGAGTGTGCCCCCAGTGACATTATTCGTAATATCCTGGGGAGATGTTACTCTTAATGTCACAGGGATTGTACACCCTGTTCTATTATTGTAATATTCTAGGGGGGTGTTCCTTTTAAAGTCACAGGGGTGTACACCCTGTAATGTTATTCGTAATATCCTAGGAAGAGGTTACTCCTAATATCACATGTGTTATCCTAGGAAGAGGTTACTCCTAATATCACACCCTGTGATACCACTCGCAATATCCACAGGGAATGTTACTTTGAATGTCACATGGGGTGTACACCCTTTGATGTTAGTCCTAAGACCCAGGGATATATTACTTCAAATATCACATTGGGTGTAGACACATGGTGTACACATTATGTATGAAAACGTACTGTGATATTATTCATAATATCCTTGGAAAATGGGACTGCTAATATCACAGTGATTGTCCACACTGTGATATTATTAGTAACATCCTAGGGGAATATTAGTCCAAAACCAAAGGCGTGTGTTCCCCCCATGATATTATTCGTAATACTCTAGGGAGATGTTACTCCTAATGTGATATCACAGGGGTGCACACCCTGTGATATTATTCACAGTATATGAGAGGGATATTAGCACTGAAGTCACAATGCATGTACACCTTGTGATATTATTCCTAATATCCTACGGGGATGTTACTCATATTGTCACAGGGGTTGTGTTCGCTGCGATAGTATTCGTAGTCTCCTAGACGGATGTTACACCTAATGTCACAGGGTGTGTACATCTTGTTATATTAGCCGTGATATCCTAAAAAGACATGACTCCTCATGTCACAGGGGCTGTATACCCTGTGATATTATTCGTAATATCCTAGCGAGATGTGACTTTTAATGTCACAGAGTGTACACACCTTTTGAAATTATTCATCACAGTTTCGTGGTATGTTACAACTTATGTCACACGGGGTGCACACCAAATGATATTACTTGTAATATTCTATAGAAATGTTACTCATAAATCACAGGTGTTCTACACCCTGTAATGTTATGGGTCGTATTCTAGGGGATTGTGACATAAATTAATGTCACCCGGCGTGTACACCTTGTGATATTATTCGTAATATCCTGGTGGGATGTTACTACTAATGCCACAATACGTGTACACCCTCTGATATTATCCGTTATATCCTCATGGGTCATTCCTCCTATGTCACATGGGGTGTACTCCCTGTGATATTATTCGGAATATCTCAGGGGGATTTTACTTTAAATATCACAAAGGTTGTACACGCTGTGATATTACCCGTGATGTTCTAGAAAGATGTTACTCCTAATGTCACAGGGGGTGTACACCCTGTGATATTACACAGGCTAACCCCCTGTGACATTATTCGTAATACTTTAGCGGGATGATACTCCTAAAGTCACAGGAGGTGTACACCCTGTGATATTATTCGGAATATTCCAGGGGGATGTTACTCCTAAAGTCACAGGTGTGTATGCCCTGGGATAGTATTCACAATATACTAGCGGGATACTACTACTAATGTCACCATGTGTGTACACCTTCTGATATTATTCGTAATATCCTGGGAGGATGTTACTCCCAACGTCACAGGGGTGTACACCCTGTGTTATTATTACTAATATTCTAGCGGGATTTTACTTTTAAAATCACAGGGGCTGTCAACCCTGGGATCTTATTTGTAATATCCTACGAAGATGTTACTTGTAATGTCACATGGGGTGTACACCCTGGGATATTATTTCAAATATCCTAAAGAGATGTTATCTTAATGTCATAGGGTGTGTACACCCCTTGATATTATTCCTAATATCCTGAGGAGATATTACTTTAAAAATCACAGTGGGTGTGCACACATGGTGTACACCCTGTGATATTATTCACAATATGTGAGGGAGGTATAACTTTTAATATCGCAGTGGGTGTACACACTGTGATACTATTCGTTATATCGTAGAAGTATATTATTTCTATTGTCAGAGGAGTTTAACATCCTGTGAAATTATTTGTAGTAATCCAGGGGGATAATTACCCTAAAGTCGCAGGCTGTGTACACCCTGTTATGTTATTCATAATATTCTAGGGGGATGTTACTCCTAATGTCGCAAATGTGTGCACGCCGTGATATTATTCACAATCTACTAGCTGGATATTGTTACTAGTGTCACCATGCCTGTTCACCTTGTGATATTATTCGTAATATCCTAAGGGGATGTTACGCCTATTGTCACAGGGGGTGTGGTTTCTGTGCTATAATTCGGAGTATCCCAGGGGGATGTTACTCCCACCATACAAATTGTGTACAATTTGTTATATTATTCGTAATATCCTAGAGTGATGTTACTCCTTATGTCACAGCGGTGTATATCCTGCGATGTTATTCTTCGCATTCTAGAAAGATGTTAACTTCTAATATCACAGAGAGTGTACAATCTGTGAGGTTATTCATAATCGTTTCCAGGGATGTTACTCCTAATGTCACACGTGGTGTACAAACAGTGATATCATTTGTGATATTTTATGGAAATGTTACCCCTAATATCGCAGGGGCTGTACACCTTGTAATCTTATTCAGAATATGAAGTAACGTACCTGCTGTCAGGAGATCTGAGCTTTTTTCTTGGACACATTATACCCACAGTCCTCCAGGTGTTGGCGTAGGGCAATCCGTTCTCTTGGCGCACCCGACTGACCTGGGGTGTCCCAGCAAAAGCTCAACCTACTGGAGCAAAGCGCAGCCTATGTCTCTGGTTGGAAACCTCTGGAGGTCTCGAGCCAACGCCTCACCGAAGATGGTGGGGGAGTTCTTGAACCTTTGGGGAAGACCGGTCCAAGTGTACTGAGTAGTGACACCTGACTCCGGACCTTCCCACTGAAAGGCAAAGAGCTTCTGCCTCTCAGGGGCTAATCTGATAGGAAAGAAAGCGTCTTTCAGGTCCAAGCAGGTGAAGCAGCTGTCCTCAGCTGGCAGCAACCCCAACAATGTGGACGGGTTAGGTACTGTTGGATGGAAAGTCAGTGTAGCTTGACGAAGCAAGCGCAAATCCTGTCCCGGCCTGTAGACCTTGGTCTGTGGCTTGGGAACAGGCAGGAGGGGAGTGTTCCATGGCGAATGACAAGGAAGTATCATTCCACAAGTTCTTAGGTGCTTGAGACGGACCTGGATACCTTGAAGAGCTTCTCTGGTGACCGGGTCCTGTTTTTGCCTAAGCGGCTGGGCCCCAGTCTTAACTGGCCAACTCTGGAGGGTTGTCTTCCGCCCGTACTCTTGGCCACCGCTTAGCCAGAGCTGGTCTTCTCTCTTGGCCTGGCTCAGTTCAGAAAAGTCTCCATTCCTCCTCTCGGGGGACTGTAAGGGTCATAATGACTCCCGTGGTGGGTAACTTTAGCAGCAAAGAGCTGTGTTCTGTCAAAGAGAGACTGGCTCTCAGCTTGCTGAGCAAGTCCCTTCCCAGCAAGGTCAAGGGACGGTCTGGCATGTACAAAAACTGATGAATGACTTGATGTCCTCCTACAGTACAAGTCCGAGGCGAGCAGAAAGCTTGCTTTGCGGAAACCCCCGTGGCTCCGGTGATGTCAAGAGTCTTTTTGGATAAGGGGGCGACCGGGGCGGTTACTAGCGAATGTTCAGCACCGGTATCTACAGGAAAATCAATGTCTCTACCCCCGACAGTCATTCTGACCAGAGGCTCTTTGGGGACGCTTGAGCCCGGTCTCCCTCAGTCCAATAACCCTTCTGCGAGGTTGAGCCGGGCCCCTTCCTCCTAGTCCAGGGCCTCCTGTTCTGAGTCATCTTGTTTTCTTTTGAGCTGAGGGCATTTGTTCTTCCAATGTCCTATTTCTTTCCAATAAGCACACTGGTTACACTGCAAACTCTGACAGCCAAGCTGAGTTTCTTTCCCAGGGCCCCCCTTCCCTTGCTTCTTTGGGGGGACCCCTCTGATTGCTGCAGCTAACAAACAGGTCGGCGTTTCCCCGGGCCTGACCTCCATTCTCTTTGCGCTTTTCCTCGCGGCTTACTGCATCCCTGTTTACAAACACCTGCTTAGCTCTTTCTCATCATTGTGATGTATTCACCCCTGCAAGCCCAGCCTGCTTCTGCAGTTTTCTTCTAAGGTCTTCCGCGCTTTGATGGATTAAAGCCATGTGAATCATGCGCTGATTTTCAGGGTTATCGGGATCGAGGGGAGTATACATATGATAGGCCTCACACAGTCTCTCGTATAATTGTGCTGGACTTTCTTCTTTTTCCTGAATGACCTCAGAGACCTTGTTAACATTTGTGGCCTTCTGAGCTCCCCTCATTAATCCTTCCAAGAGAGCTTCCCTGCCTCAGTTTAGCCTTTGCATATCCTCTCTTTCATGTGGGTCCAACTGGTGGTCGGTTCGTGGTACCTGGGTCCTTCCATACTCTTGGGGGTTTTGATAATCAGCTGGTGCATGTTCCTCTAGCCACTTAGTTGCTGCTTGGAGGACTCTTTGCCTTTCATCTCTGTTAAAGAGGAACATGAGCAACTGGTGGCAATCAGCCCAGGTGTGGTTGTGGGTCTGGATAACAGTTTGGAGCAAATCAATTAGGGCTTGTGGCTTTTCCTTCTGGGACGGGGTATTGTTTTCCCAGTTGAGAAGGTCAGCAGAGGTGAAGGGCTGGTACACAAAAACAGCCTCTCCACCACGTGACCATCCTCCTCTATCCCAGTATACCGCTGCTCTCTCAGGGGCATTTGGATCCCCGTTTTGGGTCGTAGACGAGCTGCCAAGGGAGGGGTGGAATGACGCAATGTTACCGCAATTAATAATATCAATTGTTAATTGATACTAATAATTATCAATATTAACAACTGATCATATAATTCTTAAAATCAATACAGATAATAATGAAAATTCATATTAAAGAGTTATACTCACGATAACAATAAATGATTAATATTAACGATTAATGATGCCTGGTATTAATAAGTGATATTGATCTTATTCATTAGAAAACAGTCATATTAGCTCCTAATAATTAATGTTAATGTTAATCTGAGCACTTTTTATGAGCAATTATTTCTTAATATTAATATTAATATTGGTAATAGATATTCCTGTTAATAATAAATGAGGAAGAATTAATATGAATATTATGCCTAATACCCCAGTGGGTGTACACCCACCTGTGATATTGCTCCTAATGTTCAGGGAGGGAGAGAGCATGATATTACGTTTAATATCGCAGTAGCTGTACACCCACCCGGTGATATTGATCCGAATATCATCTCCAGGGGGTGGCGTATGAAGTTACTCCCAAGATAGCACTGGGTGTGCATCCACCCGGTGATATTCCTCCTAATATTCACGGAAGAAGAGAATGCTATTACTCCCAGTATCGCAGGAAGTGCACAACCCTTCTGTGACATCGTTCCTAATATCCAGAGGGGGAGAGGGTGATATTACTCGCAATATCGCAGGCTGTGTACACCCACCCTCTGATATTCTTCCTAGCAGCCAGGAAGGGAGAGGACGATATGACTCCCCATACAGCAGGAGGTGTACACCCATCCTGGGATATTCTTCCTAATATCCATGGAGAGGAGAGGCTGATATGACTCCCAATATCGCAGGGGGTGTACATCCAGTCTGTGCTATTGTTCTTAATATTCAAAGGTGGAGAGGTTGATATTACTCCCAATATCACAGAAAGTGTACAAACCCGTGTACTATTGCTGCTATTATCCAGAAGAAGAGAAGATGATACCACGCCCCCATCGCAGGAGGTGTACACCCACTCTGTGATATTTTTTGTAATGTGCAGGGCGGGGGAGGATAATATTCTTCTTAATAGCGCAGGGTGTGTATATCCCCCCAGTGATACGGTCCTTAATATTCCAAGGGGGAGAGGTTGACCCTCCTCCCAATAGCACAGAAAGCGTGCACCACCCCAGGGATATTGTTCCCATGATCCAGGAGAGAAGAGGATGATGTTACTTTCAATATCGCATGGGGTGGACATGCCCCCAGTGATATTGTTCCTAATGTCAACGTGGGAGAGGATGATACTACACCCAATGCTGCTGGGGGTATAAACACTCCCGAGATATTGTTCTTAATATCCAGGGGCAAGAGGATGCTATTACGGCAAAGAGTGCAGAGGATGTACACCCGTGTATGATATAGTTGGTAATTTCCAGAGGCGGAAAAGATATTATTGACAATACCGTCAACACGCTGTGTGACCACGGTGGATCGTCATATCCAGGCGGGGAGAGGGGGGTGCTATTACTCCCCGCATCGTGGGGGGAGCCCACCCCCCTGCGATGTGGATCGTAATATCCAGGGTGGGAGAGGGGGGTGATATTACTCCCCGATTTTTCCGAGGAGATTTCGTCTACTACCACCCTTGGTTGACATCCTGGGACATTATTTTCCATTTTCTAGCAACATGCCGCTACTGAAGTCACCGGGGTATACACCCTGCGATATTATTCGTAATATTGTAGGGGAATGTTAATCATGTTGTCACAGGACTCTACACACTGAGATGTTATTCACAGTATCCTAGCGGGACATTAAGAAGAATGTCACAATGTGTGTACACCTTGTGGTCTTATTCTTCTTCTCCTAAGGGGAGGTTACTTTTATTGTCACACGGGGAAGTTTCCCTTTGATATTATTCATAATATCCTAGAGGGATGTCACCTCTTATGTCACAGGGTTTGTACACCTTGTCAAATTACTCGTATGATCCTTGTAAGATGTCACTCCTCTTATCACAGAGGGTGTACACTCTGTGATATTATCGTCCTATTCTAGGGAAATGTGACTTTTAATGTCACAGAGGTTGTACACCTTGTGAAATTATTCGTTATAATTTTGTGGGATGTTACCCCTGATGTCACACGGGGTGGACACACAGTGATGGTATGTGCAATATTCTATAGAAATGTTACTCGTAATTCACAGGTCCTGTACACGCTTCAATATTCTTCATAATATTCCAGGAAAACATTACTGCTAATGTCACAGGGCGTGTAGACCCTGTCATGAAATTCCTAATATCCTAGCGGGAGTTCACTACTCATTTCACAATGCGTGTACACCCTTTGATATTATTCGTATTGTCTTGAAGAGATGTTACTACTGATGTCCCAATGCAGGTACATTCTCTGACATTATTCGTTATTTCCTCGGGGGATGTTACTTCTAATGTCACACGGGGTGTACACAGAGTCACACAGTGATAGGAGTTGTAATATTCTAGAGATATGTTACTCATAAATCACTGGGGCCGTACATCCTGGGATGTTATTCGTAATATTCTAGGGAAATGTTGCTACTATGGTCACGGGGGTATACACCCTGTGATATGACTCGTCATATCCTGGCGGGATGTTACTACTAATGTCACAATGCCTGTACACCCTGTGATATTATTTGTAATATCCTAAAGGGACGTTACTAGTAAGGTCACAATGCATGTACACCCTCTGATATGATCGGTTATATCCTTGGGGGTGTTACTCCTAATGTCATATGGGATGTACTCCATCATATTAGTCGTAATATCCAAGGGAGATGTTATTTTTAATGTCACCGGGAGTGTATGTCATACGTATTCAATGCTTGTGATACTATTCCTAATATCCTAGGGGCATGATCTCCCTAATGTCACACGGGGTGAGGCGGTGTACATCGTGTGTGTACACCACCTGTGATATTATTCATAATAGCCTAGGAGGATGTTTGTTTGAATGTCACAAAGAGTGTACAAAATGTCACAGAAGGTGTACACCTTGTGACGTGATCTGCAATACCCTAGGAGGATGTTACTCCTAATATGTCACAGGGGTGTACATGCTTTGTTATTATTTGTAATCCCCTAGAGAGATATTAATTCAAATATCACAGTGGATGTACACACATAGTGTATACCCTGTGATAGTATTCATAATATCCTAGGGAGATACAACTCCTGATATCACAGTGCGTGTACCCCGGGTGTGTACACCCTTGATATTAGTCTTAATATCCAGGGTAAATATTACTCCTCATATCACACAGTGTGCACACCCTGTGATATTTTTCATCATACTTTAGGGAGATATTGCTTCTAATATCACAGTGGGTGTACCCCATGTGTGTATACTCTGTGACAGTATATTTTATATCCTAGGGAGGTATTAATTCTAATATCACAGTGGGTCTTCACCCTGTGATATAATTCTTATTTCATCTTGCAGCATTTTTTAACCATGAAATACAACATTAGCTGGGCGTGCTGGCGCATGCCTGTAATCCCAGCTACTCGGGAGGTGGAGGCAGAAGAATCGCTTGAACCCAGGAGGCAGAGGATCTGGTGAGCCAAGATTGCACCATCACACTTCAGCCTGGGCAACAAGAGCGAAACTCCATCTCAAAACAAAAAACAAAAAACCAGCATGATTTCAAGAGCAGAAAGAGAAGACCTTAAAAACCAGCATAATGAGAAAGTTAGGAAGTTTCTTACCAAACCATCTGGAATTGTGCAAGAAATTCTTGTGAAGTAAAATTTTCATACTGTACTATCAAACACTAGAACTCACTTATTCCATCTTTCTGTATTTCAGGACCCAATTATCCACTTGTCTTCATTCCCCATCCCATCCCTTTTCTTCGTAGCGTCTGCTAACCTCCTTTATACTTTCCACCTTACTCAGATTCCTTTTGTATGTAGGTGTATGATGGAGTCTCTTTCTGTTGCCCAGGTTGGAGTACACAGGCACAATCCGGGCTCACTGCAAGCTCCGCCTCCTGAGTTCAAGCGCTTCTTGGGCCTCGGCCCTGCGAATAGCTGAGACTACAGGCAGGCGTCACCAAGCCTGACTAATAGTTTGTTTTTTCCGTAGAGACGGGGTTTCACCATGTTGGCCAAGCGGGTCTCGAACTCCTGGACTCAAGTGATCCCAGCGACTCAGCCTCCCAGAGTTGAGAAGTTGAGAGGGGTCACAGACAAAATGAGAGATTTCCACATTCTTGATGATGGTGAATTGTCACACAATCCAACCGTGCAGCTGGGAATCCAACAGGCTAAGGAAAAAGGACACCAAAACGAAGAAGACACAGAGGTGAGGATTCATGATGACTGGGTAGTGCAGAGGGAGACAGATGGCTACAAAGCCGTCATAGGCCATCACAGTCAGGAGCATGCATTCTATACATGCAAAAAAGGACCAAGAAAGACATCTGTGTCAGGCAGCCCGCATGAGAGATGACTCTGCTATGCGACTGCATGTCCACAGTCACCTTGGGAACCGTGGCCGAAGTGAACCCGATGTCAGCCCAGCACAGGTTGGAGAGGAAGAAGTACATGGGGGTATGGAGGGGGGAGTCAGAGCTGACAGCCAGGATGCTGAGCAGGTTCCTCAGAACCATGACCAGATACAAGGACAGGGACAGGGACAGGGACAGCAAAGCGAGGACAGGCTGCAGTTCTGGATCCTCTGAGAGTCCCAGGAGGAGGAATTCTCAGACACCTGTGAGATTCCGTGGCTCTGTGTGTCTTGGACACCTTGAGAAGGAAAGAGGATTGGAAAATAAAAGGTAAAAACCAGCCCTTAATGTTGGATGCAAGCAATTCACAAGGAACATCTTTACACTTGCAGACCATACACCACCAGCAATGTTTCTCAGTTGTGACAATTCCAAAAATCTCAGAATTTTTACGTGATTTACTTTTTAGCTATACGAGGCTTTCTGTACATACTACTTTAGAGAAAATCCACTGAAGAATATCAGAAGACCAAAACGTCGTATATAACAAATCCGTGATCTCCGTAAAATACGGCCTACTCTTTTCAGAAAAAACACAATGCAATGAAAATATCCTTCTCTCTTTCAGAAAAAGATCTCAGTCTAATTGAAAGAAATTAAGAAGCCGTGAAATACACTCTACTTTATTCTGACACCGTGCTACAACTTCCATTGATGTAGAATATGTAAAAGGACGACACGAGAGCTACGACCCCATTATCTGAAAACGAAATCGAACCTTATAGTTCTCAATGGGAACACCTTTTCACATACCTGTTACTTTTCATATTTATTATCATCCTTCGGTTTTCTGACATCACTTCTTCATAAAAGTACATGCACACTTAAAAATGGGAGCTGTGTTTCCAAATGAATTGAATCTCTAACTCTTGGCCCAGCACCATGGCTCACAACTGTAATCCCAGCACTTTGGGTGGCCGAGTCTGATGGATCACCTGAGATCACGAGTTCCAGACCAGCCTGGCCAACGTGGTGAAACCCCGTTTCGAGTGAAAATAAAAAAAATTTAGCCAGGCGTGGTGGCGGGTAACCCCAGCTACTCGGGAGGCTGAAGCAGGAGAATCCCTTAGAACATGGAAGGCAGAGATTGGACAACATGTGATAGGATTTTTGATATCCTAGGGAGATATTGCTCCTGACAGTAGAGTGGGCGTACACCCTGTGATATTATTTGTAATATCCTAGAAAGATATTGCTCCTAATATCACGGTGGCTCTACACCCTGTGATATTAATTGTAATATCCTACAGAGATATTACTCCTAATAATACAGTGGACGTACAACCTGTGATATTATTCATAATATATTACAGAGATACGACTCCTGATATCACAGTGAGTGTACACCATGTTTGTACACCCTGTGATCTTATTTGTAACAACTTTGAAAAATATTACAGCTAATATCAAAGTGGGTGTACACCCTGCGATGTTATTTGTTATCTACTAGGTAGATATTACTCCTAATATCACAGTGAGTGTACACCATGTGTGTACAGACTGTGAAATTATTTGTAATACCCTAGGAAGATATTACTCCTCATATCACAGTGGGTGTACACTGTGAGTGATTTTTTTTCTATTATCCAGCGGGGGAGAGGATGATATTGCTTCCCATATCACAGAAGGTGTACACCCCCCTGTGATATTGTTCCTAATATCCAGGGAAGGAGAGGATGACATTATTCGTAATATCACTGGGGGTGTACCACCTCCCGCCGGGATATTGTTCTTAATATCCGGAGGTGGAGAGAATGATGTTACTCCCAATATAACAGGGGGTGTACACCACCCCTGTTTGTAAACGCCCCCTGTGATATTGTTCCAAATGGCCTGTGAAAGAGTAAACATGACTCCCATTATCGCGGGGGGTGTTCAGCCCTGATGATATTGTTTTCTAACATCCAGGGAAGGAGAGTATGTTATTACTCTCAATATCACAGGGGTTGTACAACCTTTTGTGTTTTTGTGCCCAATATCCGGGAAAATAGAGGATGATATTACTCCCAATATCGAAGTAATTGTACAGTACCCCTGTGATATTCTTCCTAATATCCAGAAAGGAAAAGAATGATGTTACTCCCAACAGCGTAGGAAACGTATACCCGCGCTGTGCTATCTTTCCCAGTATCCAGGTGGGGAGAGGATCATATTACTTCCAATGTCGCAGGGTGTGTACACCCCCTCTGTGATCTCGTTGCTAACATCCAGGTTTGGGGAGGATGACATTACTGCCAATATCGCAGGGGAAGCACACTCCCCCGTGACCTTGTTAGTCATTTCCTGGGTGGAGAGGATGATCTTACTCCCAATATCGCAGGGGGTGTACACACCCTTGTGAAAATCTTCCTATATTCAGAGGGAGAGAGGATGATATTACTCCCAGTACCGCAGGGGGTTTCCACAGCTCTGTGATACTCTTCCTAATATCCACAGGGAGAGAGGATGATATGACTCCCAATATCGCAGGGGGTGTACGCAACTCTGTGATATTGTTCCTAACATCCAGAGTGAAAGAGGATGATATGACTCTCAATATCGCAGAGGGTGTACACCCCTCCTGTAATATTGTTCTGAATACCCTGGGAGGGAGGGGATAAGGTTACGTTGAATAACGCAGGGAATGTACACACTCCCCCTCTGATACCCTTCCTAATGTCCAGGGGAAGAGAGGAAAACTTCACTCCCAATATCACAGAGGCAG
Organism: Homo sapiens; assembly: GCF_000001405.40. Lineage (NCBI taxonomy): Eukaryota > Metazoa > Chordata > Mammalia > Primates > Hominidae > Homo > Homo sapiens. The sequence goes on from NC_000010.11 coordinate 14,989,924, forward strand.
TACACCCCACCTGTGATGTTGTTCCCAATATGCAAGGGGGGACAGGATGATACTACTCTCAATATCACAGGGCTGTTCACATCCCCAGTGACATTTTTTCCTAATATCTAGGGGACAGACAATTCTATGACCGCAAAGGTTGCAGAGTCTGTACATCCCTTCCTGATATTGTTCCTAATATCCAGGGGGGAAGAGGATGATATCAAATATGAAAGGGGGTGTACATCCCCCACCCCTACGATGTTGTTCTTAATAATCATGAGGGGAGACGATGATATTACTCCAAATATCGCAGGGATTGTTCACAACCCCCTGTGATATTGTTTCTGATATCCAGGGGGGGGAGAAAATCATATTACTGCCAATATTGTAGGTGGTGTATACCCCACCTGAAATATGGCACCGAATATCCAAAGAGGGAGAGGATGGTATTCATACCAATATCGAAGTGTGTGTACACGCCCCTTGTGATATGGTTTTTAATATCCAGTGGGCGGGAGGATGATATTAGTCCCAACATCCCAGAGGCTGTACACTACCCCTGTGATATTGTCCCTAACTTCCAGAGGGGAGAGGGTGGTATCACTCCCAGTATCTCAGAAGTTGTACATCCCCCGTGATATTGTTCGTCATATCCAGGCAGGCGCAGGATGACATTCCATTGAATTTCGCGACAGGCGTACACGCACAGTGTGATATTGTTCCTAATATCCAAGAAGGGAGAGGATGATATTACTCCCAATAAAGCAGTGGGTGTACATCACCCCTGTGTTATTGTCTCTAATGTCCGGGGCCGGGGGAGGGGGGCAGAGGATAATATTCCCTCAAATTTAGCAGGTGGTTTGACGCCCCTTGTGGTGTTGTTTTACATATCCAGCGGGAAAGACAATAGTACTGTTTTTGAAAGTCCGATTCATCCGCTCCACCTTTCCGGAACTCTGAGGCCGGTAGGCGGCATGCAGTTTCCATGTGATCCCCAATACCTTTGCCGTCTTCTGTACCAAGGCAGCCAAAAACACAGGCCCGTTGTCTGAGCCGATCCGTAAGGGCGGTCGAAATCTAGGAATCACATCTCGAAGAAGCACAGGGGTTACTTCATGAGCTTTCTCAGTTCATGTTGGATAGGCCTCCACCCACCCAGAGCAGGTACGCCCAAGAACTAGTACATACTTGTTACCTCCACACTTGGGCGTCTCTGTGAAGTCCACCTGGAGACCTTCAAAGGGGGCTGCTCCATAAGCTCGTATGCCGGGCGGAACGGCTGCACCTTGCCCCGCATCATGCTGTCGGCAGGTAACACACCGCTGCCTCACAGTTTTGGCAAGGGCTGACAAAGGCGAGATGTAGAAATACCGGCCTAACAACTTTTCCAGTGACTCCTGACCTCGATGGGTGGTTTCTTGCACAGCCAGTACAACTGCAGCTCCTAGCAGCTGTGGCACAGCTTCTCTCCCATGTGGTAACCGAATCCATCCTTCCTCCATCACTTGTCCTTCCCTCTACCTGGAGACAGTCCTTTTCTTCTTTAGAAGAAGCAGGTCCAAGATCAGGTGCTTGAGGGAGCACTGATGCCCAGAAGGGGGCAGATGCTGCTTTTCGAGCCTCTGAGTCAGCGCCGGAATTCCCCAAACCCAGCAAGGTGGAAGCTCGCTGGTGTCCTCTGCAATGCTTAACTGCCACCTTGTGGGGTCTCCATACTGCTTCTAATCATTGGAAGATTTCTTGTTGATATTTTCTGTCTTTTCCCCCAGAGTTCAATAGGCCCTTTTCTTTCTATCACGCTACATGCACTTGAAGGGTTAAAAAGACATACCGAGAATCAGTGTAAATGTTGACAGTCTCACCCTCACTGAGTTCTAAGGCCCGAATGAAAGCAATGAGTTCAGCTTTCTGGGCTGAAGTGGCCTGGGGCAATGATCTGGCTTCAACAACAGTGCCCAGGGTTATCACTGCATACCCTGCACCTCTCTCTCCTTGGGGGTTGAAGAAGCTGCTCCCATCCACATATCGTTCCCAGTCTACTGATGCCCAAGGCTGGTCCCGGAAGTCAGGTCTGCTAGAGTCAATTGAGTCCAACACTTCTACACAATCAGGCTCGACAGGGCTCTCTGATACCTGCAGCAAGGTGGCGGGGTGTAGGGTGTTACAAACTTCAATGGTTATATGGGGACTTTCACAGAGCAAAGTTTCGTCCTTGGTGAGTCTGGCTTTCGTTAGCCAATGATGTCCTTTAGTGTTCATTAAAGTCACCACAGCACGGGAGGCCTTTATGTTCAAGTTTTGCCCAAGAGTCAGCTTATTTGCTTCTTGTACTGGCAGGGCAGTTGCTGCCAAGGCCTTCCAACAGGGGGGCCATCCTTTAGAAACCCCGTCTAGTTGTTGAGAGAGGTAGGCCACCGGCCTCGGCCAGGGACCCACAGTTTAGGATCAAAGTCCAGCTGCCATCTTTTCTCTCTCTGATGCATACAATGGAAAAGGCTTTGTCAGATCGGGTAGCCCCAGGGCTGGGGCAGCCAGAAGTTTTTCCTTTAACTCATGAAAGACTTGCTGTTGTTGGGATCCGCATTCCAAAAGTTCCCGGTCCCCGCCCCCTTGGTAACCTCATACAAAGGCTGGCTAATTCTGCAAACTTTGGGATCCACAGTCTACAAAAGCCCACAGCTCCTAAGAATTCTCTTACCTACCTTCTGCCCTTAGGCTCCGCTAGATGGCAAATGATCTGCTTTCTTTCTGATCCCAGGTTGCGTTCCGACCCCTGTCGGATAGTCAATCCCAAGTAACCTACCTGCTGTCGGCAGATCTGAGCTTTCTTCTTGGACACCTTTTACCCACAGTCCTCCAGGTGCCGGTGTAGGGCATCTATTCCCTTGGCACACCCGACTGCCGTGGGGTGTCCCAGCAGAAGGTCATCAACCTACTGGAGCAACACGCAGCCTAGGTCTCTGCTGGGAAACTTCTGGAGGTCTCGAGCCCACGCGTCCCCGAGGATGGTGGGGAAGTTCTTGAACTCATGGGGGAGACCGGTCCAAGTGTACTGAGTAGTGACACCTGACTCCGGATCTGCCCACTGAAAGGCAAACAGCTTCTGCCTCTCAGGGGCTAATCTGATAGCAAAGAAAACGTCTTTCAGGTCCAAGCAGGTGAACCAGCTGTCCTCAGCTGGCGGCAACCCCAACAATGTGGACGGGTTAGGTACTGTTGGATGGAAAGTCAGTGTAGCTTGATGAAGCAAGCGCAAATCCTGTACCAGCTGGTAGTCCTTGGTCCGTGGCTTGGGAACAGGCAGGAGGGGAGTGTTCCATGGAGACTGACAAGGAACAATCATTCCAAAAGTTCTTAGGTGCTTGAGACGGACCTGGATACCTTGAAGGGCTTCTCTGGGGACCGGCTCCTGTTTTTGCCTCACCGGCTGGGCCCCAGTATTAACTGGCAAATCCCGGAGGGTTGTCTTCTGCCCGTACTCTTGGCCACCGCTTAGCCAGTGCTGGTCTTCTCTCTTGGCTCGGCTCCGTTCAGAAAAGTCTCCATTCCTCCTCTTGGGGGACCATAAGGGTCATAATGACTCCCGTTCTGGGTAATCTTAGCAACGAAGAGCCATGCTCTGTCAAACAGATAGTGGTTCTCAGCTTGCTGAGCAAGTCCCTTCGCGAAAAGGTCAAGGGACAGTCAGGCATGTACCAAAACTGATGAATGACTTTATGTCCTCCTACAGTACAAGTCCGAGGCGAGCAGAAAGCTTGCTTTGCGGAAACCCCCGTGGCTCCGATGACGTCAACAGTCTTTTTGGATAAGGGGGCGACCGGGGCAGTTACTAGCGAATGTTCAGCACCGCTATCTACAAGAAAGTCAATGTCTCCACCCCCGATTGTCATTCTGACCAGAGGCTCTTTGGGGACGCTTGAGCCCGGTCTCCCTCAGTCCAATAACCCTTCTGCCAGGTTGAGCAGGGCCCCTTCCTCCTTTTCCGGGGCCTCCTGCTCTGAGTCACCTTGTTTTCTTTTGAGCTCAGGGCATTTTTTCTTCCACTGTCCTATTTCTTTACAATGAGCACACTGGTTACGCTGCAAACTCTGACAGCCAAGCTGAGTTTCTTTCCCAGGGCCCCCCTTCCCTTGCCTCTTTGCGGGGGCCCCTCTGATTGCTGCAGCTGACAAACAGGTAGGCGTGTCGCCGGGCCTGACCTCCATTCTCTTTGCCGTTTTCCTTACGGCTTACTGCATCCCTGTTTACAAACACCTGGCTAGATATTTCTAGTAATTGGGATGGATTCATCCCTTCAAGCCCAGCCTGTTTGTCTAGTTTTCTTTTCATGTCTTCTGCACTTTGACGGACTAAAGCCATGTGAATCACGCGCTGATTTCAGGGCTATCGGGATCAAAGGGAGTATACCTACGATAGGCCTCCCACAGTCTCTCGTAGAATTGTGCTGGACTTTCTTCTTTTCCCTGAATGACCTCAGAGAGCTTGTTAACGTTTGTGGCCTTCTGAGCTCCCCTCATTAATCCTTCCAAGAGAGCTTCCTTGTGTCGGTTTAGCCTTTGCATATCCTCTCTTCCATGTGGGTCCAACTGGGGGTCGGTTCCTGGCAACTGGGTCCTTCCATACTCTTGGGGATTTTGATAATCAGCTGGTGCATGTTCCTCTAGCCACTTAGTTGCTGCTTGGAGGACTCTCCGCCTTTCTTCGCTGTTAAAGAGGAACATGAGCAACTGGTGCCAATCAGCCCAGGTGTGGTTTTGGGTCTGGATAACAGCTTGGAGCAAATCAATTAGGGCTTGTGGCTTTTGGGTAGAGGGCGGTGTATTGTTTTTCCAGTTGAGAAGGTCGACGCAGGTGAAGGGCTGGTACCCAAAAACACGCCTCTCCACCACGTGACCATCCTCATCTATCCCAGTCTACCGCTGCTCTCTCAGGGGCATTTGTGTCCCCGTTTAGGGTCCTAAACGAGCTGCCGAGGGAGGGGTGCAATGAAGCAATGCGACTTACCGCAATTAATAATCTCAATTATTAATTGACACTGATAATTATCAATATTAAAAACCCATAATATAATTTTTAAAATCAATACCGATAATAATCATAACTAATATTAAATAGTTATACTAACGATAACAATACATGATTAATATTAATGATTAATGACGCCTGCTACTAATAACTGATATTGATCTTATTCATTAGAAAACGGTAATATTAGCTCCTAATAATTGATATTAATATTAATAATCTGAAAACATTTTATTAGCAATTATTTCTTAATATTAATATTAATATCGGTCATTCATATTCATGTTAATAATAAATGAGGAATAATTCATACTAATATTACGCCCTAATACCTCAGTGGGTGTACACCCACCTGCGATATTGCTCCTAATGTCCAGAGAGGGAGAGAGCATGATATTACGTTCAAAATCGCAGTAGGTGTACACCCAGCCGGTGATATTGATCTGAATATAATCTGCGGGGGTGGAGTATGACGTTACATTCAATATAGCACTGTGTGTGCATCCACCAGGTGACTTTGCTCCTAATATTCACGGAAGAAGAGAATGCTATTACTCCCAACATCGCAGGAAGTGTACACCCCCGTGTGAGATGGTCCTTAAAAATATTCCAAGGTAGAGGGGGTGATATGACTACATATATGGCAAAGAGTGGACACCCCCAAGGATATTGTTCGCATGATCCCGGAGGGAAGAGGATAATATTACTTTCAATATCACAGAAGGTGGACAAGCCCCCAATGATATTGTTTCTAATTTCAACGTGGGAGAGGAGGACATGACACCCGATATCCAAGGGAGTAGAAACACCCCTGTGATACTGTTCCAAATATTCAGGGAGGAAGAGGATGATATGACTCCCAATGCACACGAGTGTACAACTTCTGTACACCCTCGGTGTACACAGGTCTGTGAAACAGTTCATAATGTGCAGAGGGGAAGATGATATTACTCACAATATGATAAACAGGCTGTGAGTCCACCGCGGATCCTAAGAGCCAGGGGGGCAAGAGGGGCTGGCTCTTTACTCCCCGCATCGCGGGGGGCGCCTCGCCCCCCTGCGATGGGGGTCGTCATACCCCGGAGTCGAGAGGGTGGTGATATGACTCCTCGTATCGCGGAGTGCGCCCGCCCCCCTGCAATGTGGATCGTCATATCCAGGGTGGGAGATTGGGGTGATATTACTCCCCGCAAGGAGGGGGGCGTCGGCCCCCCTGCGATGTGGTTCGTCATATCCGGTGGGGAGTGGGGGTTGATATTACTCCCCTTATGTGGGCGGGCGCCCGCCCCTCGGCGATGTGGATCTTCATATCCAGGGTTGGAGTGGGGGATGATTTTACTCCCCGAATCGCGTGGGCTCCCGCCCCCATGAGTCGTGGATCGTAATATCCACGGGGGATGGGCGGGTGATATTACTCCCCGCATCGCTGGTCGCCCGCGCCCCTGCGATGTGGCTCGGAATATCTAGGCGGAGAGTGGGGTGCGATATTACTCCCCGCATCTCGGTGGCCCACCGCCCTCCTGCGATGTGGATCGTAATATCCAGCGGGGAGAGCGGGGTGATATTACTCCCTGATTTTTCCTGGGATCCTTTCTATGCTGCCACCCTCGGTTCACTCCCTGGGACATTATCTTCCATATTCTAGCAAGATGCGGCTGATAAAGTCGCAGGGGTATACACCCTTCAATATTATTCGTAATTTTGTAGGGGAATGTTAGACCTGATGTCACAGGACTCTGTACACTGTGATGTTATTCCCAATATTCTAGCTTTACCTTAATCATAATGTCACATTGTGTGTACACCTTGTGGTGTTATTCTTATTCTCCTAAAGGGAGGTTGCATTTATTGTCACACGGGGTATGTTCCTTTTGATATTATCCATAATGTCCTAGAGGGATGTCACCCCTTATGTCACAGGGTTTGTACGCCTTGTCCAATTACTCTTATTATCCTCATAAGATGTCACTCCTCATATCACAGAGGGTGTACACTCTGTGATATTTTTGTCATATTCTAGGGAAATGTTACTTTTAATGTCACAGAGGGTGCACACCTTGTGAAACTATTCTTTATAATTTTGTGGGGTGTTACCCCTAACGTCACACGGCGTGTTCACACAGTGATGCTACGTGCAATATGCTATGGAAATGCTGCTCGTAATTCACAGGTCCTGTACACCCTTTCATATTCTTCGTAATCTAGGAAAACGTTACTGCTAATGTCACAGGGCGTGTAGATCCTGTTATCAAATTCCTAATATCCTAGCGGGAGTTCACTACTCATTTCTCAATGCGTGTACACCCTTTGATATTATTCATATTGTCTTGAAGAGATGTTACTACTGATGTCCCAATGCGGGTACATTCTCTGATCTTATTCGTTATATCCTCGGGGGATGTTACTTCTAATGTCACACGGGGTGTACTCCCTGTGTTCTATTTCATAATATCCTAGGGCAATTTGACTTTTAATGACACATGGGGTGTACACATTGTGATATTATTTGTGATATTCTAGAAAGATATTACTCCTAATGTCACAGGGCTGTACAGCCTGTGATAGTATTCATAATTTCCCAGGGGTCTATACTCCTATTGGCACAGACGATAACACCCTGTGACATTATTTGTAATATTCTAGCGAGATGATACTCCTCATGTCACAGGTGGTGTACACCCCGTGTTAGTATTCTTACTATTCTAGGGGGATGTTACTCCTAACATCACAGGGAGGTACACCCTGTGATATTACTCATAGTGTACCAGAGGGATATTAGCACTCATGTCACGATGCATGTACACTTTGTTATATTATTTGTCATATCCTAATGTCACAGGAGGTGTGTTCTGTGTGATATTCTTCCTAACATCCTAGACGGATGTTGCTCCTAACGTCACAGGGTGTGTACATCTTGTCAAATCATTCACAATATCCTAAAACTATGTTATTCCTCAGGTCACAGGGGGTGTTCACCCTGTGATATTTTTCATCATAGCTTTGTGGGATGTTACTCCTAAAGTCACATGGGGTGTACACAGAGTCACACAGTGATATGAGTTGTAACATTCTATAGACATGTTACTCGTAAATCACAGGGGCTGTACCTCCTTTGATATTATTCATAGTATTCTAGGGGAATGTTGATACTATTGTCACGGAGGTGTACACCCTGTGATGTGACTCGTCATCCCAGCGGGATGTTACTACTAATGTCACAATGCCTGTACACCCTGTGATACTATTTGTAATATCCTAAAGAGATGTTACTACTAAGGTCACAGTGCATGTACACCCTCTGATATTATTCGTTATATCCTTTGGGGGTGTTACTCCTCATGTCACATGGGGTGTACTCCCTGTCATATTATTCGTAATATCCAAGGGGGATGTTATTTTTAATGTCACCGGGGGTGACATTACGCATTAAAAATGCGTATTCAACCCCAGTGATACTATTCCTAATATCCTAGGGGCATGCTCTTCCGAATGTCACATGGGGTGTACACCATGTGTGTACACCTGCTGTGATATTATTCGTAATATCCTAGGGAATTGTTACTCCTGATGACACAGGTGGTGTACACCTTGTGTGTACCCCTCCTGTTTTATTATTCATAATATCCTAGGGGGATGTTTCTTTTAATGTCACAAAGAGTGTACAAAACGTCACAGGAGGTGTACACGTTGTGGCGTGATCTGCAATACCCTAGAAGAATGTTACTCCTAATAAGTCACAGGCTTGTACAAGCTTTGATGTTATTTATAATCTCATAGAGAGATATTACTTCAAATATCACAGTGGATGTACACACATAGTGTATACCCTGTGACAGTATTCATAATATCCTAGGGAGATACAACTCCTGATATCACAGTGCGTGTACCCCTGGTGTGTACACCCTTGATGTTAGTCGTAATATCCAGGGTAAATATTACTCCTCATATCACACAGTGTGCACACCCTGTGATATTTTTCATCGTACTTTAGGGAGATATTGCTTCTAATATCACAGTGGGTGTACCCCATGTGTGTATACTCTGTGACAGTATATTCTATATCCTAGGGAGGTATTACTCCTAATATCACAGTGGGTGTTCACCCTGTGACTTCATTCTTATTTGACCTTGCTGCCTTTTTTAACCCACACTACAAAAGGAATGGAACAAATAAGAAGATATTGAGATGAGATCGTGCTGCCATGTGGCCGCTGCAGGACACTTTTCATATCCCTGTTTCTCAGGCTGTAGATGAAGGGGTTCGGCATGGGGATGACCACCGTGTACATCACTGAGGCCACTGCAGCCTTTCTCGGGGAAGATGACACATCTGAACCGAGGTAGCCTCCAATGCCTGTTCCATAAAATCAGCAAACAACTGACAGGTGAGACCCACAGGTGGAGAAGGCCTTATACTTCCCACCTGATGATGAAACCCTTAGAATGGAGAAAACAATTTTATTGTAAGAGAAAAGGGTCCCCGAGATGGGAAGAAAACCAAATATGGCGGCAGGGAAATACATGATTATGTTATTGGTGAAGGTGCCACAATATGCAAGATGGGGAGTTGAGAAGGGTCACAGAAGAAATTAGGAATTTCCACATCCTTGAAGCAGGTCCTTTGTAAGGCAATCAAGTTGTGCAGCTGGGCGTCTAAAAGACTGAGAAAAAAAAAAGACAACAAAACTAGAAAGCCACAGAAACATGGGTTCATGATGGCTGAATGATATAGAGGGTGACAGATGGCTACAAACCGCTCATAGGCTATCACACTCAGGAGCATGTCTCTCTTCCATGCCTCCAAAAATGGCAAAGAGAGACATCTGAGTCAGGCAGCCTGCGTAGGAGATGACTCTGCTGTGAGACTGGATGTCCACAATCATCTTGGGGACCGTGGTGGAGGTGAAACCGATGTCAGGCAGGGACAGGTTGGAGAGGAAGAAGTACATGGGGATGTGGAGGTGGGAGTCAGGGCTGACGGCCAGGATGATGAGCAGGTTCCCCAGCACCGTGACCAGGCACATGGACAGGCACAGCCCAGTGAGGACCGGCTGCCATTCTGGATCCTCTGAGCTTCTAGGAGGAGGAATATAGAGACATCTGTTAGATTCTGTGGGTCTGTAGAGATTGGACAACTTTTGCCTAGAAAAGAGGGTTGAGAAATCGGAAACAAGTAAACCGACACCCAGCATCGTGTCTGCATTTTGGATAGAAGCAATTCACAAGTCATGTTTTCAGATTTCAGAGCAATCCACACTCAGCAATAGTTTGCACTTCTGACAATCTCAATTGTCTTCTAATGCTTTCATCATTGATTTCTGTGTGATTCACTTCTTGTTGTACACACCTGCCTCAGAGACACTAGATTCAAGAATGTTCCAAGAACGAGATCATCCTATATAACAAATTCGTCATTGCTAGAAAATACAGCCTATCTTTACCGACGGAAACTATGTAATCAAACCATTCTCTTCACTTTAAGAAAAAGGTTATCCTAATTAAAGGAAATTAAGAACTCAAATATTTTATTTTATTCGAATAGACTGATACAAATTCCCTTGATTTAGAACATCTGTAAACACCGTATAACTGCTGAGACCATGCCATCTGGAAATGAAATTAAAGTTGATAGTTCATAAGCAGAGAATAGTTCCACAGGCCGGTTGGATCCTATTGATTTCATCATTCTGTTTTCTGACTTTTCACCTTCAAGAGAGGAATTGCTTCCTCAAATCTGTGGGTCTTGTTTTAAAATTCATGGAAGCTGTAACTCCTGTCCTTAGCTTTGGTGGACTTAGCGTTTTCATCAGAACGTTTGGCCGGACGCGGTGGCTCACGCCTGTGATCCCAGCACTTTGGGAGGCCGAGGAGGGCGGATCACGAGGTCAGGAGATCAAGACCATCCGGGCCAACATGGTGAAACCCCGCCTCTACTGAAAATACAAAAACTTCGCCCAGCATGGCGGTGCGTGCCTGTAGTCCCAGCTTCTCGGGAGGCTGAGGCAGGAGAATGGCTTGAACCTGGGAGGCAGAGGCTACAGTGAGCCCAGATCACACCACTGCACTCCAGCCTGGGCAAAAAGAGCAAAACTCTGTCTCGAAAAACAATTTAAAAAAAGTACACGCTCTGTCACACTGACGTCACACTGATGACAGCCAATTTTTGTGAACCAAGGAAGTGTCAATTCAATAATTCACATAGATGTTGACTTTGGCTATCTCCTATGTGCCAAGCGAGATATAGGCTCTGGGGAATCAGAAACAAAAGAGACTCACTTGTTCCTCTCACAATACTCAGGACTTACTGAGATAAGGACAAAAGAAAATGTCCTGTCTGGAATGCAGGGAAACCAGAACTTCAGGTCAGGGGATATTTCCGTTGAACCGTATGGAGTTTAAGCTGAAAATATTAACGAATGTATCTAAAATTCACTTTGCCTTGACTTTACGCATCCATCACACAGAGATCACGCAGCGGGCACCCACGATCGGTTTCATCGTCGCTCACTTCCATTGGATCAACTAGAAATCAACTCAGATGAGAGTGCTGAGTCTCAGAAGATGGACGTCTCACCCCTTGCCATACAGATAAGTAGAAAGGGCGGTATTGAAAATTAATGGCCAGACTCTAACTCCTGCATACCATACTTGATGGTCTCCAAACTCTCAAAAAGTTGTGGGGTTTTTTTGTTTTTGTTCTTGTTTTTTTTTTTTTTTTTTTTTTTTTGAGACGCAGTCTCTTTCTCTTGCCCAGGCTGGAGTCCAGTGGAGTGATCTTGGCTCACTGCAACCTCCGCATCCCAGGTTCAAGCTATTCTCTTGCCTCAGCCTGCCGAATAGCTGAGATTACAGGCACCCACCACTACACCCAGCTCATTTTGTTCTCTTTTTAGGAGAGACGGGGTTTCACCATGTTGGCCAGGCTGGTCTCGAACACCTGATCTTGTGATTCACCTACCTCAGACTCCCAAAGTGCTGGGATTACAGGCGTGAGCCACCGCGCCCAGCTTCCAAAAGTTTTCAACAGAGCTCAGAGGTCTTAACCACAGGCACATCTGAGGAGCATTTCTGAAATGGTTTCCAGCTTCCTCAATAGGAATGGAAGCCAAACCCTGAATTGATGACTCCTTGGAGGAAGTCGAGAGCTGTAAGGAAAGCCAGGAACAGGGGCAAGGGAGCGATGCATCCCAAATGATCCTGTGCCAATTCTTTCTGGAATCTTTGATGTGATCTCAGCTGCCCTTTCCATACTTGACACAGTGATTGCGGCACCCACTGGTCTAGCTGTGGTCTACAAGGAACCCCCAAAGGGAAGGGCACAGTGAGCAGGGGCATCGGCCTGACTGACAAGGATTGGAGGGGGCAGGTTGGATGCAGGGTGAGGAATGGCCAAATGTCATGTGTCTGGCCTTAGACTGCCTGGTTCAGATTGGGCTTCACCCTTTTTGACTTCATGATCTGGTACAAGTTATATGAAAATGTGTTGCTCCTTTTCTAGTCTGTAAAATAATCATGAAATGTGCACTAATAACTGGGAGACTACACAGATGAAATGAAACAAGTAGCATAGACCACAGAGCTCAGAGCCTGCCTTTAGGAAGCCCTCAGTAAGGGTTCATGATGCCGTGGTGTCTGTCATCATCCTCTTTATCCTCATCATCACCTTCATCATCTTTTTGTTGTTCTCAGGGAACAGTTTAGAGAGGGACTCATTCCCTGCTTGCATGGGTGAGATGTCTATGAAAAGGACAACCAGTGGGGGAGGGAAGCACAATTTTGAAGAAGATTCCTGAGAGAGACCCCCCACCACAACCAAGAACAGAAACTCCACAGTCTGCTGAGCTGACAGTTTGCACATTGGTCTCCTCCCATCTGGCCATGGCACTCTCCCGTTTGTCCTGAGGATGAGGAAACAAACAAGGCTCCCGACCGTCCCTCAGCACTCACTGAACTGCCCTTCTCCTGTGCTGGGCCATGACCACGGAGAACAGGTCCACTGTCTTCCCTGCGTGGTACACAGGGGAGGCTCAGACTCCATCCTCAAGGATGACAAGAAGACAGGCCAAGACATGAGCCTCAGGATACAGGTGATGGGTGTGGAGCCCACAGGACTGCAGCCTCACACTGCAGGGCTGGAGGCACAGACTGAGTATTTACTATTCTATGGCCTGGGGGGCTCAAGGCATAGAGCTCCTTATTAGCCGAAGTCGCCCAAGTTCCCCAACCTCTAAAGATTTCCTCATAATCATGCAAGAAGAAGAAGGGAAAAGTGAGTGTCCATAGAAGTTTTGGGGCTCTTCCTCTAATCAGGAGAGAGCTTGTGTAAAATTCTTCGCCTCTTTCTTTTCTTTTTCAAGATCCAAGTGCTTTAATTTTCATATTTTATTATGGGAAAATATACCACGTATAAATCCTAAAAATTATAAATATAGATTATTGCATATAGAATGGCCAGTATGAACATTCACAATTTCCACTAGTTTTCAGTTTAGAGTTTAATCACATTAGGTACATTCACATTGTTTAGCAACCATCACTGCCATCATCTCCAGAACAGTTTTAGCTTTCAAAATGGAAATTGCACCCATTAAGCAAACTCTCCATTCCTCTCTCTCACCCACCCCTGGGGGCCACCATTCTATTTTGCAACTCTATGAGTTTAACTACTCTAGACACTTGACAGAAGGGGAATGATACCGTGTTTCATTTTCTTTGTTTCTTTGTTTTGGAGACAGTCTTTCTCTGTCACCCAGGCTGGAGTGCAGTGGCATGGTCTCGGCTGACTGCAACCTCCACATCGTGGGTCCAAGCGATTCTTGTGTCTCAGTCTCCCATGTAGCTGGGGTTACAGGCGTGCGCCACCACGCCCAGCTAATTTTTGTATTTTTAATAGAAACGAGGTTTCACAATATGGCCAGGCTGGTCTCGAACTCCTGACCTGAAGTGATACGCCTGCCTCGGCCTCTCAAAGTGCTGGGTTTACAGGTGCGAGCCACGGAGGCTGGTCATGTTTATCCTTTTGGGATTTATTTATTTCACTAGCGATAATGTCTTCAAGGTTCATCCATGTTGCAGCCTGTGTCAGAAGTGCCTGCCTGGCTTTTTCGGTTTTTTATTATTTATTTATTTTTTTGGTTGTGTTTTGTTTTGTGTTTACACGGAGTCTCACTCTGTCACACAGGCTGGAGTGCAGTGGCACAATCTGGGCTCACTGCAACCTCCGCCTCCCGGGTTCCAGCGATTCTTGTGCCTCAGCCTCCCGAGTAGCTGGGAGTATAGGCACGCGCCACCACGCTCGTCTAATTTTGTGCATATTCAGTAGAGACAGGGTTTCACCAAGATGGCCAGGCTGGTCTTGAATTCCTGACCTCGGGTGATCCGCCCACCTCGGTCTTCCAAGATGCTGGGATTACAGGCGTGAGCCACCGCACCAGCCAGAAGTGCCTGCATTTTTATGGCTAAATAGTCTTCCGTTGTATGAATGAACTGCACTGTGCTTTTTCATTCATCTGCCCACGAACCCTTGGGTTGCTTCCACATTTTGGCTGTTTTGAGTAACTCTGCTATGAATATGGGTGTACAAATCTCTCTTCCACTCCTGGCTTCTAATTCCTTTTGGTGGGTACCCACAAGTGCAACTGCGGGAACATCTGATCATTCTGTTTCTAATTTTCCAGGACAGGCCATACTATCTTCCCCATTCCTTCATGGTTTTACACTCCCTCCAATCAGATTCGAGCATTCCTACTTCTCTCTAGTTTCACCAAGTCTTGTTCGTTTATCATATCCATCCTAATATGTGGTATCACATTCTTGCTTTGATTTGCGCTTCCCTATGATTAGTGATTTTGAACATCATTTTAGGCGCTTATTGGCCATTGCTATATCTTCTTTCGGGACACGTCTACTCGAGTCTTCTGACCATTGTTAATGGGGTGCTTTGGGTTTCTTGTTGTTTAGTTCTGGCTCTTCTTTATATATGATGGATATTAGCCTCTTTTCAGAGATATGATTTGCAAACCTTTTTCCTAATCCATGGGTTATCTTTTCACTCAGTTCACAGTGTTTGCTGATGCGCAAAAGTGTCTGTCATTTAGATGTCATCCAAGGAATCTAATTTTCTTTTGTTGCCTATGCTTTTGGTGTCATATCCCAGAAAGCACTGCCCAATCTGATGTCATGAAAGTGTGGCCAATGTTTTCTTTGAGGCATATTATTCTTTCAGCACTTGGGGTGAGGTCTTTGATCCAGTTTGTATTCATTTTTGCACCCTCTGTGACATAGGGTCCACCTTCATTCTTCTGCATGTGGAAATCAAGTTTCTCCAACACCATTTCTTGAAAAGGCTGCTTTTCCACCAATGGACTTTCTTAGCACTCATGTTAGAAATCATTTGAACATATAGGGGAGAAGTTATTTCTGGGCTCAAAAACAAACAAACAACAACAGACAACAGATAAGGATGCAGCATGGACCGGGCGCGGTTGCTCACGCCTGTAATCCCAGCACTTTGGGAGGCCGAGGCGGGCAGATCACGTGAGGTCAGGAGTTCAAGACCAGCCTCACAGACACGAAGAAACCCCCCTCTCTACTACAAATACAACATTAGCTGGGCGTGCTGGGGCATGCCTGTAATCCCAGCTGCTCGGGATATGGAGCCAGGAGAATCGCTTGAACCCAGGAGGCAGAGGTTGCGGTGAGCCAAGATTGCACCATTACACTCCAGCCTGGGCAACAAGAGTGAAACTCTGTCTCAAAACAAAACACCAAAAACAAAAAATCCAGCATGATTTCGAGAGCAGAAAGATAATAGCTGAAAATCCAGCATAATGAGAAAGTTAGGAAGCTTCTTATCAAAGCATCTGGAAATATGCAAGAAATTCCTGTGAACTAAAATTTTCATACTGTGCTGTCAAACACTAGAACTCACTTATTCCATCTTTCTGTATTTTGGGACCCAATTATCCACTTCTCTTCATTCCCCATCCCACCCCTTTTCTTCCTAGCATCTGCTAACCACCTTTATACTTTCCACCTTCCTGAGATTCCTTTTGTGTGTAGGTGTGTGATGGAGTCTCTTTCTGTTGCCCAGGTTGGAGTATACAGGCACAATCCGGGCTCACTGCAACCCCCGCCTCCTGAGTTCAAGCGCTTCTTGGGCCTCAGCCCTCCAAGTAGCTGAGACTACAGGCACGTGTCACCACGCCCAGCTAATTGTTTGTGTTTTCAGTAGAGACGGGTTTCACCATGTTGGCCAGGCAGTTCTCCAACTCCTGGCCTCAAGTGATCCGTGTGACTCGGCCTCCCACAGTGCTGGGATTACAGGCCTGAGCCACCACACCTGGCCAAGATTTTCTTTTTTGTTCCTACATAGAAGTGAGGATGTGAAATATTTGTCATTCTGTGCCTGGCTTATTTCACTTAATATACAGACCTGCAATCTCATCCATTTTGTCTGCAATGGAGACGATTTTCTTCCTTTTTAGGCTGAATAATACTTCATTGGGTGTGTATACCACAGTTCCTCAATTGAAACAAATTTCTAAAAAGCAAATATTTTTAACATGTCTCGGAATGTGAAACTTCAGGGATACCATGCCCATTTTATTCTTTTCTATTTCCCATCTTATGTATATGCAAGTGTATAACAAAGCAGCAATCCAAGTGTGTATAAATCTATAATTTCAACAAATGTAAAATGAAAATGCTAAGTGGTGGCTGGGCACGATCGCTCATGCCTGTAATCCCAGAACATTGGGAGGCGGAAGCGGGCAGATCACTTGAGGTCGGGAGTTCAAGACCAGCCTGACCAATATGGAGAAACACTGTCTCTACTAAAAATACCAAAAAAAAAAAAAAAAAAAAAAAAATTAGCCAGGCATGGTAGTGCATGCCTGTAATCCCAGCTACTTGCAAGGCTGAGACAGGAGAATCGCTTGAATAGGGGAGGCAGAGGTTGCAGTGAGCCGAGATCGTGCCATTGCACTCCAGCCTGGGCAACAAGAATGAAACTCTGCCTCAAAAAGAAAAAAAGAAAAAAAAAGAAAAAGAAAAAAATGGAAAATGCTAAATGGTAAGAAACAACAGCATAATAAACATTTGTATGGTGTTGATGGACAATGCATTTGAAGATAATATTTGAAGAAATCATATTACAATTAACTTCTGCTCTTACTCATTGGAGCTTGATGCCTCTAAAAACTTCGTCATTGGAACCACCTCTGGTGCTTTAAAAAAAAAAAAAATCCACATACTCACACAGGTGCAGGGAAATCAGAATCTCAGGTATTGAGACCCAGGCCTCATCATCTGTAAGCTCCCCAGGTGATTTGACTCAAAGCCAAGATTGAGGAACGGCGACATGGATCTCTACACATAACCTGCCTAAATAGATTCTCTAGAAGCAGTTTATAAAGAAATTCCACATGAACTCTGGAAGAGGATATGAATTTGATGTACAGTATGTCCTCACTTAATATCTTTGAAAGTCTCTTGGAAACTTCACCTTTAAGCAAAATTAGGTATAGTGAAACCACTTATTCCTCACCAACATTATAACTACACAACTTTGAACGCACCAATTGTGTTGGAAGACTTGCTGTACATTGTTTCCATCAAGTCAATTTTCAGGGAATTCCAAAATGAAGTGAGGACTTCATGTATATAAAAAGATGGTTGTGATTCCACCTGGATGACAGGGTTATTGCTCAGAAACTAAAGGAGGCCGCCTAGGTATAGAGGATTCTGTCATGAGGTTTCTGCTAAACAAAGGAGCCCAGAATACTCACCCATTCCAGTTAAAGGCATAACGAAGAAAACAATATTCACATAGGAAATGCGGAAAGGAATAAAAGCCATCAAGCCACAAAAATAATGTGACTAAGGGGCAGCATTTGCAGATGTAGGGATTTAATGTGGTTGCCCTTTCTCACCCACACAAAAAAAGGATGGAACAGATCATGAGATTCCACTCTTCTGCTGCGCAGCCTCCACAGGGTGTTTTGAATGTCCCTGTTTCTCAGGCTGTAGATGAAAGGGTTCAGCATGGGGGTGACCACAGCGTACATCACTGACGCCACCACACCATTCCTGGGGGGTGGTGCCACAGCTGAAGTCAGGTACATGCCAATGCCTGTTCCATCAAATAAGCAAACAACTGCTAGGTGAGAGCCACAGGTGGTGAAGGCTTTATACTTCCCATCTGACGATGAAATCCTTAGAATGGAGGGGACAATTTTATAGTAAGACAAAAGGATCCTTGAAATGGGAAGAAAACCAAACATAGTACTATCAAAATATATGAATATGCTATTGATGATGCTGTCAGAACAGGCAAGGTAGAGAAGTTGAGATGGCTCACAGACAAAATTAGAGATTTCCACATTCTTGGAGAAGGTGAATTGTCACACAATCCAACTGTGCAGCTGGGAATCCAACAGGCTAAGGAAAAAGGACACCAAAACGAAGAAGACACAGAGGTGAGGATTTATGATGACTGGGTAGTAAAGAGGGCGACAGATGGCTACAAATCTGTCATAGGCCATCACAGTCAGGAACATGTCTTCTATACATGCAAAAAGGACCAAGAAAGACATCTGTGTCAGGCAGCCCGCATGAGAGATGACTCTGCTATGAGACTGCATGTCCACAGTCATCTTGGGAACTATGGCCAAGGTGAAACCGATGTCAGCCCAGCACAGGTTGGAGAGGAAGAAGTACATGGGGGTGTGGAGGGGGGAGTCAGAGCTGACAGCCAGGGTGCTGAGCAGGTTCCTCAGCACCGTGACCAGATACATGGACAGGGACAGCCCAGCGAGGACCGGCTGCAGTTCTGGATCCTCTGAGAGTCCCAGGAGGAGGAATTCTCAGATACCTGTGAGATTCTGTGGCTCTGTGTGACTTGGACACCTTGGGAAGAAAAGAGGATTGGAAAAAGAAAAGATAAAAACCAGCCCTTAATGCTGTGTGTATATTTTGGATGCAAGCAAATGAAAAGGAACATTTTCACACTTGCGGACCGTACACTGCCAGCGATGTTTCTCAGTTGTGACAAATCCAAAAATCTCAGAATTATTACATGATTTACTTTTTTGCTATTGAACTCTTTCTGTACATACTACTTTAGAGAAAATCCACTAGAGAATGTTAGGAGACCAAAACGTCATATATAACAAATCCGTGATCTCAGTAAAATACGGCCTACTCTTTTCAGAAAAAATACAATGCAATGAAAATGTCCTTCTCTCTTGAAGAAAAAGATCTCAGTCTAATTGAAAGAAATTAAGAAGCTGTGAAATACACTCTGTTTTATTCTGACACCGTGCTACAAATTCCTTTGATGTAGAATATGTAAAAGGACGATACAAGAGCTAGGACCACATTATCTAAAAACGAAATCGAAACTTAGAGTTCTTAATCGGAACACCTTTTCACATGCCAGTTACTTTTCATATTTATTATCATCCTGAGGTTTTCTGACATCATTTCTTCAAAAAAGTACATGCACACTCAAATATGGGAGCTGTGTTTCCAAATGAATTGAATATATAACTCTTGGCCGAGTGCCATGGATCACACCTGTAATCCCAGCACTTTGGGCGGCCAAGGCTGATGGATCACCTGAGGTCAGGAGTTCCAGACCAGCCTGGCCAAGGTGGTGAAACCCCGTCTCCAGTGAAAATAAAAAAAAAAAAATTAGCTGGGCGTGGTGGGGGGTAACCCTAGCTACTCGGGAGGCTGAAGCAGGAGAATCCCTTAGAACCTGGAAGGCAGAGATTGGACACCCTGTGATAGGATTTTTGATATCCTAGGGAGATATTGCTCCTGACAGCAGAGTGGGCGTACACCCTGTGATATTATTTGTAATATCCTAGAAAGATATTGCTCCTAATATCACAGTGACTGTACACCCTGTGATATTAATAGTAATATCCTACAGAGATATTACTCTGAATAATTCAGTGGGTGTACACCCTGTGATATTATTCATAATATATTACAGAGATATGACTCCTGATATCACAGTGAGTGTACACCATGTTTGTACACCCTGTGATCTTATTTGTAACAA